>NW_021160013.1:199591-399183 GCF_000001405.40 Homo sapiens | reverse complement strand
GCCTTCAAGTCCAGCGTCGCAAGCATGGCAATACCCCTTCTCTACTAATGTTCAAAAATTAGCAGGGCATTATGGCGCGTGACTGTAATCCCGGCCACTCAGGAGGATGAGACTGGAGAATCGCTTCAACCCGGGAGATATTTGCTGCAGTGAACCCAGTGCACCACTGCATTCCAGCCTGGGTGGCTGAGCGAGAGTCCGTCTTAAAAAAAAAAAAAAGACACAAGAAAGAACAGACCAAAATACTCCATTGTTTCAGAACATTTCCCCAGAAGACCCCAAACGCCCTGAGTCAGGTCAAGGAGGTGGTGCTTTATTTTACTTGTCTCTCTCTCTTTCTCTCTCTCTCTCTTTCTTCCCTAACTGTTATTTGTTTTTGAAGCATACATGTGCAAGATTGTTTCATAGGTAAACTTCTGAGTAGGGGGTTCAGTGTGCCGATGATTTCCTCACCCGGATTCTCAGCGCAGTCCCCTACAGTTTTTGTGTTCTGCTCGTTTTGCTTTGTCCTGAAGCTGTCTGTCCTTCCACACGTCCTCCCTCAGGTAGGCTCCTGCGTCTCTCGTCCCCCTAGTTCTTCGCATGCATTCTCATTATGTAGTTCCCACTTATGTGTGAGAACACGCGGTATTTAGATGATTATTGTTTCATCTTCGGTGGTGGTGATGAAAGAGGCATGACACTACATCGACCCTTAGGACGCTCCCCTCCATCCCCACCCTACACCCCCTCCCCACGCACACCGTCTTTCCTGCACCCCCTCCTGAAACCCAACAAACGAAGAAAGACAGAAATTAAAGTAAGAGTTCAGCCACCAAGGCGGTGGTGGGGGGGAATCTCAAACGGTGAGCAGGCGATGGGAGTATGGGGATGTCATGGCCTAGGTAGCAACAATAGGGGACCGACTTTCCAGCCCCCACCCCACACTCCCTAATCCTCAGCCATCACTTTGGAGTTCATCCAAGGAAGGCTGGTCTCAGGGACTACATACCTAACCTCTCTGGGCTTCTATAGGATAAGATGTTATGGCCAGACGCGGAGCTCACGCCTTTAATCTCAGCACTTTGGGTGGTCAAGTTGGGTGGTACGCCTCAGGTTGGGTGTTCTAGACCAGCCTGACCATTATGGAGCTACCTAGTCTCTATGAAAAAAAAAAAATTAGCCAGGCCTGGAGGTGTTTGCCTGTGGTTTCAGCTACTCGAAAGGGTGAAGACTGGAAAATCTCTTGAACACAGGCGGCAGAGGTTGCGGTGAGCTGAGGTCACGCCACTGAACTCCAGCCTGGGCAATAAGAGCGAAACTCCACCTGAAAGACAAAAAAAAAAAAAAAAAAAATGAAAAGGAAAGAAGATTTTATGAAGTATAGTTTATACCAATCGGCTCTCACTGTACCTTGAGAGATTCCGAAAATCGCTACTTAATGACCGAAGAAAACACCAGCTAACAGGTTTTGGGGAAAATACACATCTTCCTAAAATTGGTAAAATCTACTTCAACTGAAAAGAGATAAGTAAAGTAAAAACTACAAACAAAACAAAACGTAAAAACAAACACAGACCAAGGCATCGCTTGTGGAAATATTATGTAAGCAAATTGTCACTTTTTAGAAAGCATTTCTATGTTGGGCAAATACCAGTAAGGCCCAGGGAAGATCTGTGAAATGTGGCAGCATGCACCATTTTAAGGGCTGAAATCCATCTGTGTGTCTCCTTTCATCACAACTCTTTTTTTTGGGCGGGCGGATACCTGGAGTTCATGAGTTCAAGAGCAGTCTGGGCAATATAGCAAAATTCTGACTACTAAAAAGGCAAATGTTAGCTGGGTATGGTGTCACACAGAACTATGTTCCAAGAGGAAGCATCACAAATACCCATGGTCCGCAGTCAAGAAATGAACTGAGTTTACAAGTTTGTAGTGTCATTGCTGCCTCGAAAGGTGAGATGCATATGTTTGTGTCACTGCGGGTTTCTATTTCTTCTTGGAAACTCACTTATTTTTAATTACTTTTTTTTTTTTTAGATGGAATCTGACTCTGTCACCCAAGCTGGAGTCCAGTGGCATGATCTGGGCTGACTGCAATCTCCATCTCCCGGCTTCAACAGATTCTACTACCTCAGCATATAGAGTAGCTGGGAGTAGAGGTGTGTGACACCACACCTGGTTAATTTTTGTATTCTTCATACAGACAGAGTTTGACTATGTTGGCCAGGCTGGTCTCAAACTCCTGACCTCGTAATCCTCCCACATCCGCCTAGCAAACTGCTGAGATGAGAGGAGTGGCCCACTGCACCCAGCCTACTGGTTTATTTTTAAAAATAGCAATTTGGGTCGGGCGCAGTGTGTCTCGCCTTTCTATATCAACCAACATTCTTTCTCGAGTCTGATGACCTGGGATCTCCCAGCACTTTGGGAGGACGAGGCCACAGGATTCCTGGAAGTTGGAGTTCAAGACCAGCCTGGGCAACATGGGAAAACCCTGTCTTTACTAAAAAGGTAAAAGTTAGCTGGGTATGGTGGCACGTGCCTGTTATCCCAGCTACTCGAGAGGCTAAGGCAAGAGAATCGCTGGAACCTGGGAGGCGGAGGTTGCAGTGGCCCGATACTGCGCCATGGCCTGACCAACAGAACAAGACTCCATCTCAAATAAATTAATAAATACGTTAGTTAATCGAAAAGTTTAAAAAGAAAACTTCAAGGACGTTGCAGGAATGCACGGGAATGCTTCTCTCATTCCTAAAGATCAGAGCAGAAACACAGTACCATCAGGTTGAGATACAGGCCATTGTGAATCTCTTCTCACTGTGCTCAACTGACACCAAAGAAGGGCAGGTTTCCATGCCGCCCGTTCATCATCACCGCTCTCGTCAAGTATAATTGCAGAGTCATGACTACACAGAGATCTCTCAACCCACCAACTGCGTCCTTACTTGTATGAGTGCAGTTGAAAGAATAAACAGGGCATTTAGCGAAGTAATCATCATATGTTCTTTTGTCTCTCGTGTCTCTCATGAAACCAATCACATTCGTGGACCACTTTTTCCCCACCCTTCGAACATCCACAGAGCACCAAAATAAAAGAGCAGTGAATGCCTTTTACGCGACAAGGAGGAAAAACAACAAAGTGAAAGTCACAGAGGCTTGTGATACACAGGGAGATACAGAATAAGGAGAATTTTCCAAAATCCACACAAAGACAGACAGACAGAGGGATGGAAAGAAAGAAATGAAGAAAAGAGAGAGAGAGTAAGGAAGATCAAGAAAAAGAAAATAGACAGACAGAGATGTAAAGGGAAGAAAGATGAAAAAGAAAACCAAAAGACATAGAAACAGAAAAAAAAAGAATGAGAAATGAGAGAAAAAAGGGAGGAAGAAAAAGAGAGAAGAAAAAGAAAAGACAGAAAGAAAGAGAAAGAAAAAAAGAGAAAAAATGAAGGAAATAAAAAAGAGGGCAGGGCATTGTGGCTCACACCTATAATCCCAGCACTTTGGGAGGCTGAGTTGGAAGAATTGCTAGAGCCTAGGACTTTGAGACCAGCCCTGGCAACACAGTGAGACCCCGTCTCTACTGAAAAAGAAAAGAAAAGAAAAAAATCCGGGCATTGTGGTGGCAGGCGCCTGTGGTCCCAGATCCTTTGGAGCCTGAGTTGAGAACATCGCTTGGGGTCGGGAGGTGGAGGCTGCAGCGGGTCTTGGTCAGACAAATGCTCTGCAGTCTGTTTCCGAGGCTGTCTTGAACTCCCGAGCTCTAGCGAACTGCCCTCCTCAGGCTCCGAAATTGCAGCCGCCACAACCAACGGTCCTGAAGGTGTCATTGACAGATTTTAGTAAACAGGGTGTTTCGCCATATTGCGAATTTGAACCCAGGCATTTGAAGCTGCAGTGACCCAAAGTCGCGCCACTGCACTGCACTCTGGGTGATAGAGGAAGACTCCATCTCTAAATAATTACATAAATAATAAAAACAATAACAATAATGACAAACAATAATACAAAGAAATAATAAGCAGCAATAATAATAAACAAACTCGTGGGAGTGAAAAACTATAAAAGGTAATTTAGATCACAATTAATTGCAGTTTATTTCAAGGAATTTTTTTCTTTAACCTGTCTCTCTTACCTTCTGAAACACTCAGACTGGAGGGCAAGGCATCATCACGGCTCACTTCAGCTTCGACATCACAGAATTAAGTGATTCCTGTAGTCTCAGCCACTTGGAAGGCTGAGATAGGAAGATCACCTGAGGGAGTCCTGGAAAGTCGAGGCGGCTGTAAGCCGAGATTGCATTCTTACACTCCAACCTGCCTCAAAAACTACAAATAAATAAAAGGTAAATGTAAAACAACAGCAACTTCAGTGTGTAGAAAGAGGAGCAAGAAAAATAAAAGAAAAACAAAACGAAGAGAAACTGAAAGTACTGTGGAAACAGTTGGAGAGGAAGAAACAACGCAAGGAAAAAGCGACACCTAGTGAATGCGGGCGGTACTGCTGCTGACCAAAGTTATCTGGTCTACCTTAGAAATCCCAAGTTGACGGTCAAGTCCAACGCTTGCCGCGGACATCAGGTGGGCACGGCGACCAGAGACCTGAGGACTGGGGCCTTAGGCCCTGGTCCCAGGTCTTCCAGACAGAGAAGCCCGCGGCCGTGTCAACTGGATGTTGCTTGCTTCCCGCAGTCGGCTGATTCGCGGGCTGATCGGGAAGCCAAACGCCAGCATCTAATCGACAGGGTCCACCCTAAAGACCAAATGTGGTGCTCGCGGAGGGAAGCGATCAGACGCAGTTGGAACCTTATCACACAGAACCGGCCCAGGTTTGAGGCCGTCTAACTTGGCAGACCTGCCAGCCATTTCCCCGCAGTCCGCTGGTTGACCCGGACAGAGAAGAGGAGTAAAGACACAAGGGTAGTGACTAGCTAGTCTTTCATCCCAGCACCCCTGAGGCGGGGAGAGGGACTGTGACCCCAACAGCCACCCACGGGCATCGCGCGAACACTACTCAGGCAGGGACTGCAGGGGCAAAACCTCTGACACCCGCGCCTCAGCCATTCGCACGAGGCTCGAAGAATCCGGTCCCAACTCGTGGAGGAATTCCCAGCGGGATGGGAGAAAGAAGCTCAATCAGAGAGGTGGAACATCGAGCAGGGGCGCCAACCCTACCTCGCAACCCCCAGCGCTGCATCTTGGAAAGCCTGCTGTTGGGGAACGACCCCTCCCAAATGCACGGCCGACGCCAATGTTATCTCGCGAGAGACAGCCCTGCATGCCCTGGGGCTCCGGGGCGGGGGGCCTGAGCAGGCCCGGGAACTAAGTCCCCGGGGCAAAAGGAGGGAAGAAGGAAGGTAGAGGTCCAGGGCTGAATTATACAGGACACGCCACAACGCTAGCTTTCCCGCACACTGGTTGAGAGCCCCTTGTGTGGAGGGCTGACTTTCAATAGGTTGCAGTGAGGGAGTTGCTCTGCTCCATAGGAAACCCTGACCCAGAAGCAGGGCGTTTACCAATAGTTTAGTATCAGATTCCCCATGAGCATGTTATGTGACGGGCCAGGGAGCAAACGCCTTTCTGGCCGCACCCCGTTTTTTAGGATGGGGGGCCGCACCCCGTTTTTTAGGATGATAAGACCGGAGCAAGGTCTTGGCGCACAGCGGGGCGGAGCGTCCGGCCGGTGGCAAAGGCTGGGGACTGGCTATCTGAGGCCAACCGAGTCTTGCCAGCGCTGCTGCATCCTTTCTTCTGGGCGGGATTCTGATTTAGAGGCGTTCAGTCATAATCCCACAGATGGTAGCTTCACCCCATTGGTTCCTCAGTCAAGCACATACACCAAATGTGTGAAACTTTGATTCCTCTCATACTCAGCAGGATTACCATGGTAGCAACACATGGGCAACAACACATGGAGAACACACGCAGTAAAACTAACCTGTCTCACATGGGTCTAACCATGATGTTTTCCAGGGCATGCACTCCGCTTTTAGATTAATCCATTCCACTTTGCCTTGCCCTTCACAAAGAAAAGAGAACTCGCTGGCCACAGTGGCTCACGCCTGTAATCTCGGCACATTGAAAGGCTGAGGCTGACAGATCACCTGATGGCAGGAGTTCGAGTCCAGCGTGGCCAACATGGTTAAACCCTGTCTCTATGAAAATACAAAAATTAGCTGGGCATAATAACGGGTGCCTGTTAACCCAGCTCCTCGGTAGGCTGAGGCAGTAGAATCGCCTGAAACCAGGAAGCGGATGTTGCAGTGAGCCGAGATTGCTCCATTGGGCTCCATCCTGAGCCTCTAAGCGAGACTCCATCTCAAAAAAGAAAAAAAAAAAAAAAAAAAAAAAAACGAGAACTCTCTCTAGGGCTCCCACCTGCTTTTGCAGAATCAGAGAATGTGATTGCCGGCAAAGGTTGAGGGGAGGGCGCAGGGGAAAGAAGGGGGAGGAGCAAAGGCTGGAGGCACAATAGCTCACTCTGGAACCTTTCCAAGTTTAGTGGGGACAATTTTGAAACTAGCTGACTCTGGAAATTACACATAATTCATAGTATTATTGCTTCTTTGAAAGGTGAGCGGTTCATGATTTTTTTTCTCAGCATTTATTCATTTACTTGTAATAAGTGCATTTAGTTTCATACAGTTTACATACAACCGGTTTGACTGTATCTGCAGAGATATAGGATAGTTTTTCTTAATGATAAGCCCTAGGGTGGAGCTACAATGCACTTTCCGTTGTGAACCCTGAAAACTTGAGAGAGGTCTCAGTTAATTTAGAAAGTTTACGTAACCAAGGTTCAGGACGCATACCCGTGACAGCCTCAGGAGGTTCTGAGGACATGTGCCTAAGGTAAACAGAGAACATTATCGTTTTATACATTCTAGGGAGACATGAGACATCAATCAAAGTATGCAAGATGAACATTGGTTCGGTCTGCAAAGGCGGGACAAATTAGCAAACGCGGGAAGACTGAAAGTGAGGAGGGGACTTCCTGGTCAAAGGTAGTTAAGAGACAAATGGTTGCATTCTTTGGAGTTTCTAATTAGCCTCTCCAAAGGAGGCAATCAAATATACATTTATCGCTTGAAACCAGGAGGCGAATGTTGCAGTGAGCCGAGATTGCTCCACTGGGCTCCAGCTTGAGCATCTGAGCGAGACTCCATCTCAAAAAAGAAAAAAAAAAAGAGAAAAGAGCAGAGGAGTGACTTTGAATAGAATGGCAGGTTGGCCCTAAACAGTTGCCAGCTTGACTTTTCCCTTTACTTTAGTGATTTGGAAGCCTCAAGATTTATTTTTCTTTCACACACACAATTTTTAAAACCCAGGTAGAACTGTTCATGCTTACTAAAAAAAAAAAAAAAAAAAAAAGGAAGAAAGAAAAACAAATGATAGCCTAGGCGCCCTGGCTTATTTCTGTAAACTCAGCACTTTAAGAGGCTGAGGTGGGTGGATCATCTGAAGTCAGGACTTCGAGAACAGACTGGCCAACATGGCGAAATGACGTCCCTACTAAAAATACAAAAATTTGCTGGGAGTAGAGGCAGGCACATGTAATACCAGCTAGTGGGGAGGCTGAGGCAGGAGAATCGCTTGAATCCAGGAGGCAGAGGTTGCAGTGAGCCGAGATGGCGCCATTGAACTTCAACCTGGGCTACAAGAGCGAAACTGTCTCTGTCTCTAAATAAATAAAGAAATAAGCATTCCCAGCCAGGGTGGAGGTTTCCTAGGCAACAAGGCATTGGGGGAGGGACAGAAGGAGTGCATCTGAGGTCAGGGTGGGGCCCGAGAGAAACCAGTTTTCCCTGGCTGTGCGCGGGCGGCCAGAAGTTTTGGTGTGATGCCTCCATTTTCAATAACAGTGACCGCTAGGTGACGCCAAATGACAACCGAACGACGTTCCAGCCTGGAATGAGTGGGGTCACTGGTTTAGGGGTTGTCAAGGAAGGAGAAAGAGATGGAGGCCCATGGGGTCGCCGGTCTTCTGATCTCTCCTGGATTACGTTTCCGGGCCCGAGACACCCTCCCAGACAATCCCCGCAGCTCTTCAACCAGTGTCCCTGGGGAAAAGATGATCAGTTCTCAGAAAACATTCAGACAGGCAAGAACATGCGCTCACGTGAGCACATGACAAGTATACAACTTTATATGTGATAGTGAGCTTTCTTTTGCAAAATGTCTTCGTGATGCATTTCACTACATAGTATTGTTGAAAACATCAAATTATAGGAGTGAGCACAGTGGCTCAAGCCTGTAATCCCAGGACTTCTGAAGACCAAGGTGGGAGGCTGGATAGAGGACAGGAGTTTGAGACTAACCTGGGCAACACATCGAGAGAGATTACCACTACTTAAAAATATTGCCCAGCATTGTGGCACATGCCTATATTTCCAGCTACTCAGGAAGCTGAGGCAGGAGGATTGCTTAAGCCCAGGATTCAACGTTGCAGTGAGTGAGCTGTGAACAGGCGACCAGAGTTTTTTTGTTCTCTACAGCTTACATTTTCAGTAACGGTTGCCGCTAGTTGTCGCCCAAAGACAACTAAAACACGTGTCATCCTGGAATACGTGGGATCCCTGATGGAGGGGTGGGTGAGGAAGTAGGAGGGGACGGAGGCACACGGAGTCGCCCATTTTCTCATGATTCCCGTTGGACTACTTTTCTGGGTGCAGAGCATCCTCCCAGAAAGTCCCCAAAACCATTCAACCAGAGCTCCTGAAAAAAACAGTCACACTCTCTGCCCATCGGATCATCCGGAATTTCCATTTATCCATTGAGAAGAATGCTCCATTGGAGTTTGGCGCAGGTTACGGTTACAGGCAGGGGCTGCCTCAGACAGAAGTCTAGTCTACAGAGTTTCACAGTAGACCCTAGGTTCAATCTCTCCCAAACTCAGAGTAGCAATATCTGTCACAGTAGAATGAAGTGCATGAAATGCGTGCTCCGAAGAAAGCGTGTTTCACACAGATGATTTGCACACTTATTCTTGTCCCTAGGCCAGTTGTTTCTTCCAAAATACCCATTACTCAATCGTTCACCCTCTCGTGAACCACTTAGGAATCTTGTTCTATGAATCCTGGAGCTTCAATATTTGACATCTTCAGAAGAACATGAATGCTATCCTAGCCTGGTAGCAATAAGGTACCATTTCTCAGAAAACACGCACCTATGCACACAAGCAAGCATGTATACACACATGCCCGCATCATATCTATACAATTTTACACTGTGATAGTGAGCTTTCTTTCCCTAGATAACTTCGTAATTGCTTTCGCTACCTAGTATTGTTTAAAATATCAAATTATAGGTGCTGGGTGTGGAGGTTTGACTCTAGTCAAAGCACTTTGCAGGCAAAGCTGGGAGAATCGCTTGAGGTGGGGAGTGTGAGAACAGCCTGGAAAACATAGCAAAATCTAATCTCTACTAAAAATAAAACAAAATTAGCTAGGCGTTGTGGGGTGCACCTATAGTCTCAGCTACTTAAGAGGTTGAGGCAAGGATTGCTTAAGAACAGGAGTTTGAGATCCTATGATACTCACTCCTGCAACACTGCTGTGGCCCATGAATTGGCTACATGACCAATGACACGGAAGGAACATGATTACAAAATTCCTGGCAAAAAAAAAAAAATAGAAAAACTTTTGTGGATAAACTTCTCTCACTGGGTAAATTACATAAAGATATGTCTGTTCTATATGAATCCCTACTAAGGGGTAACCGTATCAGAGCATGATTTTGATAATGATGTGGACAGAATGTCTTGTTCCGTGAGTATGGGTCATTCTTACTTCCCTGTCACCCCCATCATCACCCAATGGGCTTATAAACAAGGTGAACATAGTAGCAGAAATAGAAGCAATGCACGGGCTAAGCAATATGAACTTTGAATCCCAAAGGCCAGTCTGGCTACAGTCAATTCTGAATGTTTAATTTGACAGCAGCACAGATCTACACTGAGTCTTTGATATGACATCATTTCCAGGGTGATCCACCAGGCACCTGGTAGTAAATTTATTACGTTGAATAACTTTTATAATATAGGCGGCAACAGTTTGTACTCACTGGAGTAGGCTCTTACTATGGATACAAATTTGCTTTCCCTGGGTGGAATTCTGCCAAAACTACCCTCCATGGACTCACAGAATCCCTCATCCATCCCTATGATATTCCACTTAGCATTGCTCAGACCAAGAAACTCACTTCACAGCCAAAGTGTAGCAGTGTGCTCATCTTCACGGATGTCAGTGGACTTACCATGCTTTCCATTATCTGGAAGCAACTGGATTAATAGAATGATAGGTTTGTCAGCATTTCCAGCCACCCTAACACCTATATCTCCCTGTGCACCCTAAGGGACTCCACAGAATGGTGAATTAGATACATGTATCCAAAGGAACTACATACATTTGTGTTCCCCCATCCAAACCTCCAATCGTATGTAGTTTAATATTTAAAGTTGCTGAAGTTAGCTGTAGACAAAGGACAAAAATTAGAAGTGCAGAGGGAATGGGTTCCTTCATGTGGGTAAAGGAGAGAGACTTACAAAACCTGCTTAATGTGGCTTTTTGCAGTCTTTTTGCTGCTCACAGCTGAACCACATGAACTTCTAGTGTTTTGGACTCATCCAAACCTCAACATTAGCTTTAAGAGCTCCTTGATTTTCCAGCAGGAGAAAAGTGAACATGCAAAGCTCTCAGGTTCATTGTTATAATCCTCTCAAGGATCAGTCTCATTAGCAGACAGCAGAGTCTTGATCTCTTGCTTCACCAAACTAACCACTTGGCCGAGAGAATTTGCTGTTGGTCCTGGGGGAACTTCTCATATCCCTTGCAAGCTCTTCAAGTATTTGTTCCTTTTCCCCTTTCAGAAAGTTGTGTTTATCTCAGCATGCCATAGTCATCTCCAAAATTAAATAATTGTGACGTATCTAAGATTTTATAGCATTTGTAAACAACATATTAACCTTCCATTTTCATCGATGCTGGTAGAAGGCATGAGACACTGAAGTATGAAAAAAAATACCTACTATTTACTGCTTACCTGGAGGCAAAAGCCTCATATTTGTATTAGTTCTCCTTGTCCATACTACGTTTTTTGAAGGATTTCAAAAGGCTCATATGGACATTGTACATGGGGAAGATTTGTGTCATAGCTGAGCAGACTCAAGACTAAGAAACCTCAATCTTTTTAAAGTAGGTTACATGGAAGCCTGTCCAACCTTTGCGTCACAAAGAAAAATTGTCTTTATTATATTGATTGAGTAATTTATCTGCCATTCACCTGAAGAGAAAAACTACTACCCTTTTTCCAGGTTATTTGTGTACAAAAATCTTTGAAAAATAACGTGGAACAGGACAGGTATGTGATGTAATCCACAACAAAACAACAAACTCTAAGAGACTTGTGGAGAACTACATCTCAGTAGCATGCATCTTTCCCATTAAATGTTGCACTAAGCAATCCTGTGATAAAAGACAATCCATTGAAGACTTTCGACATGAAGACTAACCTCGGTTGTTTTGTGTTGTGGGATTGTTCAAGTGATTCTCCAGTGTCAGCCTCCAAAGTAGCTGGGAATACAGTCTCCCAAGACCACGCTCAGCTTATTTTTGTATTTTTAGTAGAGGCGGGGTTTTACCATATTGGCCAGACAGGTCTCGAACTCCTGATCTCAGGTGGTCCGCCTGCCTTGGCCTCACAAAGTGCTAGGAATATAGGCATGAGCCTCCGTGCCCGGCCCCAGAAATGAAAGTTCTAGTGCGCAGTAATGTAATTCTGACAGATAAATGACAGGTGAGAGTAAGTGAAAAATCTAACACAATTTAACATTTTTACATATTTAGACATATTGAAATTGGTTAGCTTATTGGAAAAAGTTAAATGACTAGTAATATATACAGCATATTTATTCTGAATGAATTGCTAATCTAGATTTGAGACATGAAATAATTATTTTTACAACACAGAAACATAAACTGCATTTCCATATACAATTAACAATTTGACAGTAAATTAAGAAAACAATTGTTCGCAACAACATTAAAATAATATAATTCTTAGCAATAAATTTAATAAGGAGGTAAATATCTTGTACAATAAAAAATACAGGATCAGAATGTTTATGAAAAAAACTAAAAAGGACTTAAATAACTGGCAACAAATTCCATGTTCCTGAACCGGAAGATTTAATGAAGTTAAGATGACAATACCACTGCCCAAAGGAGTGTACAGATGTACTGTAATCCCAAGTTTTCATTTTTCCAACTTTTCTTCTGCAAAAAGAAAATAGCTCATTTAAAACTTCATATGGAATTTGAACATCCTCTGAATGTACAGAATAATCTTGAAAAGAAGGACAAAATTAGGTGGCTCACAATTTTAAATTTGAAAACATAAAAAGCTACTAAAATTATAACAGTTTGATAGTGGCATAAGAACAATTGTGGAGATCAAATAAATAAAATAGATACTCCAAAAAACCCTTTCATAAATTATTGTTTGTCTTTTTAAAAGTGTGCCTTAATCATTATGTAAAGACAGTTTGTTACACAAGAAATGCTGGGAAAACAAGTCCACATTTAAACCAGTAAAGTTGAATCTTTATCACATTCCAAGTAGAAAAATTAAATAAAAATTGATTAAAGATATAAAAACAAGTGTTAAACTTTAGTGGTTTCTAATAGTTGTTTTTATTTAACTGGGGACAGCACTAACATGAACAACTTTATACACACAAACTAGAAAACTTTAACGAAATAAATAGATTCCTAGATATACACACTCTCTCAAGATTAAGCCAGGAAGACAATGATTTCCTGAACAGACCAGTAAAAAACTCTGATATTAAATAGGTAATAAGTAGCTTGCCAATCAAAAAAAAAAAGCTCTGGACTTTATGGACTTACAGCCAAATTCTACCAAATGTACAAAGAAGAGCTGGTACAATTCCTACAGAAACTATACCCAAAAATTGAGAAGGAGGGTCTTCTCCCCAACTCATTCTATGAGGACAGCATGATCTTGACACCAAAACAGGCAGAGACACAACAAAAACACAAAAAATTAGCCGGGCTTGGTAGCAGACACCTGTAGTCCCAGCTACTTGAGAGGCTGAAGCAGGAGAATGGCGTGAACTCAGGAGGCAGAGATTGCATTAAGCAGAGATCGCGCCAGTGCAATCCACTCCAGCCTGGGCAACAGAGGGAGACACCGTCAAAAAAAAAAAAAAAAAAGAAAGAAGGGAAAGAAAACTTCAGGCCAATATTCTTGACGAACATCAATACAAAAGTTCTCAACAAAATATTTGGGAGGCAAATCCAGCAGCACATCAAACAGGTAATCCGTCATGATCAAGTAGGCTTCCTCCTTAGGACGCAAGGTTGGTCCATCATGTGCAAATCAATAAATGTAATACATTACATAAACAGAACTAAAAACAAAAAAAAGATGATTATCTCAATAGACGCAGAAAATAATAAAAGCCGTCTATAAGAAACCCACAGCCAACAATGTGTTGAATGGGCAAAAGCCGGGAACATTATTTTTTAAAACCAGTAGAAGGCAAGAATGCCCTCTCTTGCCATTTCTATTCAACTTAGTATTGACAGTACTGACCAGAGCAATCAGGCTAGAGAAAGAAATCCGAAGAACATCCAAATAGGAAGAGAGAAAGCCAAACTATTTCTGTTTGCAGATAACATAATTCTCTATCTAGAAAACCCTGTAGTTTCATCTACAAAGCTTCTTTAGTTAACAAACAGCTTCAGCAAAGTTTCAAGATACTAAATCAATGTGCAAAGATCACTAACATTTTTCTACACCAACGATAGCCACACTGACAGCAAAATCAGAAAGGCCATCCCATTCACAATTGCCACTAAAATAATAAAATATCTGGAAATGCAGCTCACCAGGGAGGTGAAAGAGCTCTACAATGAGATTTACAAAACACTGCTCAAAGAAATCAGAGAAGATACAAACAAATGGAAAACCATCCCATGCTCACGGATAGGAAGATCCAATATCACTAAAATGGCTATACTTCACAAAGAAATTTACAGATTTAATACTATTTCCATCAAACTGCCAATGAAATTTTTTACGGAGCTAGAAAAAACTATTTGAAAACTCATATAGGCCGGGGGCTGTGGCTCACACCTGTAATCCCAGCACTCTGGGAGGCCAAGGGGTGTGGATCATGAGGTTAGGAGATCCAGACCGTCCTGGCCAACATGGCAAAACTCCTTCTCTACTAAAAATACAAAAAATAGCTGGGAGTAATGGCAGCGCTTGTAATCCCAGCTACTTGGGAGGCTGAGGCAGGAGAATCCCTTGAACATGTATATAATATATACATATGTTATACATATATTTATTATACTTTAAGTTCTAGGGTACATGTGCACAACGTGCAGGTTTGTTACTTATGTATACATGTGCCATATTGGTGAGCTGCACCCATTAACTCGTCATTTACATTAGGTATATCTCCAAATGCTATCCCTCCCCCCTCCCCCCCCAACAACATTCCCCAGTGGGTAATGTTACCCTTCCTGTGTCCAAGTGTTCTCATTGTTCAATTCCCACCTATAAGCGAGAACATGTGGTGTTTGTTTTTTTTTGTCCTTGTGATAGTTTGCTGAGAATTATCTTTTCCAGCTTCATCCATGTACACACAAAGGACATGAACTCATCATTTTTTATGGCTGCATAGTATTCCATGGTGTATATGGGCCACATTTGCTTGATCCAGTCTATCATTGTTGGACATTTCGGTTGGTTCCAAGTATTTGCATTGTGAGTAGTGCCACAATAAACATACGTGTGCATGTGCCTTTATAGCAGCACCTAACATGACTTTTCTTATTTTCTTAGATTGTGAGTTTCTTTCAGACTAGGACTCTGCTGAGTCAGCTCTCTGTCCTCCCTGTACTCCTTATCACAGTGCTTGGCTATGACAGATGTTTAATAAATATTTGAGAAACACAGTAAATCCATATGAGTGACACAATGTTACGGAAAACTCTGGTCATTCAACAAATTCTATTCTCCCATTTATTAGGGACACAGCAGAATTACATTTCTTAGCCTCATTTGCATTAGATGTGGAAACGTGACCAGTTATTGTTAATGGTTGTAGAGTGAGATGGATGTGAGTCACATTAAGATGAGTCCATCAAGTCTTCTCGCATGCATTTCTTAAAGTACTTTATTTTCAGGGGACTGAACACAAACGGCAACCACGACTCATGGATGATGAAGACAAATAATGAAAGAACTTTGAGTTTCTGAATGACCACATGGAGAGGAGGTGCCTTTTCAATTTGGCCACCGAACAACTCTGTGATGTGTGCTAAAAAGTGCTGTTAATCTACTGCAAATTAGGGATGTGCTGGTATTTGACAGTTCAGCATAATCTAAAACATGCACTTAAAAACCTATTCACTGAATTAATTTAAAAGGCATTTTTATAGTACACTTAAGATGACAAACGTTAAGGTGGTCTTGCAATTTTTACCCTTCCATTTTGACCGTACTATGTTATATTAGAGAACTTGAGCCACATAAATGATCAGTTTTTATTGCGTCTATTTGATTCTTCTCTCTTTTCTTCTTTACTAGTCTTGCTAGCAGTCTATCAATTTTGTTGATCGTTTCAAAAACCAGCTCCTGAATTCACTGATTTTTTGAAGGGTTTTTTATGTGTCTATTTCTTTCAATTCTGCTCTGATCTTAGTTATTTCTTGCCTTCTGCTAGCTTTTGAATGTGTTTGCTCTTGCTTCTCTAGTTCTTCTAATTGTGATGTTAGGGTGTCAATTTTAGATCTTCTCTGCTTTCTCTTGTGGGCCTTTAGTGCTATAAATTTCCCTCTACACGCTGCTTTGAATGTGTCCCATAGATTCTGGTATGTTGTGTCTTTGTTCTCGTTGCTTTCAAAGAACATCTTTATTTCTGCCTTCGTTTCGTTATGTACCCAGTAGTCATTCGGGAGCAGGTTGTTTGGTTTCCATGTAGTTGAGCGGTTTTGAGTGAGTTTCTTAATCCTGAGTTCTAGTTTTATTGCAGTGTGGTCTGAGAGAGAGGTTTTTATAATTTCTGTTCTTTTACAATTTGCTGAGGAGTGCTTTACTTCCAACTATGTGGTCAATTTTGGAATAAGTGCGGTGCGGTGCTGAGAAGAATGTATATTCTGTTGATTTGGGGTGGACAGTTCTGTAGATGTCTATTAGGTCTGCTTGGTGCAGAGCTGAGTTCAATTCCTGGATATCCTTGTTAACTATCTGTCTCATTGATATGTCTAATGTTGACAGAGGGGTGTTAAAATCTCCCATTACTATTGTGTGGGAGTCTAAGTCTCTTTCTAGGTCTCTAAGGACTTGCTTTATGAATCTGTGTGCTCCTATATTGGGTGCATATATATTCAGGATAATTAGCTCTTCTTATTGCATTGATCCCTTTATCATTACGTAATGGACTTCTTTGTCTCTTTTGATCTTTATTGTTTTAAAGTCTGTTTTATCAGACACTAGGATTGTAACCCCTGCCTTTTTCTGTTTTCCATTTGCTTGGTAGATCTTCCTCCATCCCTTTATTTTGAGCCTATGTGTGTCTCTGCACGTGAGATGCGTTTCCTGAATACAGAACACTGATGGGTCTTGACTCTTTATCCAATTTGCCAGTCTGTGTCTTTTAATGGGAGAATTTAGTCCATTTACTTTTAAGGTTAATATTGTTTTGTGTGCATTTGATCCTGTCATTATGATGTTAGCTGGTTATTTTGCTCGTTAGTTGATGCAGTTTCTTCCTAGCCTCGATGGTCTTTACAACTTGGCATGTTTTTGCAGTGGCTGGTACCGGTTGTTCCTTTCCATGTTTAGTGCTTCCTTCAGGAGCTCTTTTAGGGCAGGCCTGGTGGTGACAAAATCTCTCATCGTTTGCTTGTATGTAAAGGATTTTATTTCTCCTTCACTTATGAAGCTTAGTTTGAATGAATATGAAATTCTGGATTGAAAATTCTTTTCTTTAAGAATGTTGAATATTGTTCCCCACTCTTCTGGCTTGTAGAGTTTCTGCCGAGAGATCAGCTGTTAGTCTGATGGGCTTCCCTTTGTGGGTAACCCGACCTTTCTCTCTGGCTGCCCTTAACATTTTTTCCTTCATTTCAACTTTGGTGAATCTGACAGTTATGTGTCTTGGAGTTGCTCTTCTTGAGGATTATCTTTTTGGTGTTCTCTGTATTTCCTGAATTTGAATGTCACCCTCCCTTGCTAGATTGGGGAAGTTCTCATGGATAATATCCTTCAGAGTGTTTTCCAACTTGCTTCCATTCTCCTCATAACTTTCAGGTACACCAATCAGATGTAGATTTGGTCTTTTCACACAGTCCCATATTTCTTGGAGGTTTTGTTCATTTCTTTTTATCTTTTTCTCTCTAAACTTCTTTTCTCACTTCATTTCATTCATTTGATCTTCCATCACTGACACCCTTTCTTCCAGTTCATCGAATTGGCTACTGAGGCTTGTGCATTCATCACGTACTTCTCGTACATTGGTTTTCAGCTCCATCAGGTCCTTTACGAACTTCTCTGCATTGGTTATTCTAGTTAGCTATTCATCTAATTTTTTTAAAGGTTTTTCACTTCTTTGCCATGGGTTTGAACTTCCTCCTTTAGCTCGGAGTAGTTTGATCGTCTGAAGCCTTCTTCTCTCAACTCGTCAAAGTCATTCTCTGTCCAGCTTTGTTCCATTGCTGGTGAGGAGCTGTGTTCCTTTGGAGGTGGAGAGATACTCTGATTTTTAGAATTTTCCGTTTTTCTGCTCTGTTTTTTCTCCATCTTTTTAGTTTTCTCTCCTTTGGTCTTTGATGATTGTGATGTACAGATGGGATTTTGTTGTGGATGTACTTTCTGTTTGTTAGTTTTCCTTCTAACAGTCAGAACCCTCAGCTGCAGGTCTGTTGGAGTTTGCTGGAGGTCCACTCCAGACCCTGTTTGCCTGGGTATCAGCAGTGGAGGCTGCAGAACAGCGGATATTGGTGAAAAGCAAATATTGCTGCCTGATTGTTCCTCTGGAAATTTTGTCTCAGAGGAGTACCCGGCCGTGTGAGGTGTCAGTCTGCCCCTACTGGGGATGCTTCCCAGATAGGCTACTCGGGGGTCAGGGACCCACTTGAGGAGGCAGTCTGTCTGTTCTCAGATCTCCAGCTGCATGCTGGGATAACCACTACTCTCTTCAAAGCTGTCAGACAGGGACATTTAAGTCTGCAGAGGATTCTGCTGCCATTTGTTTGGCTATTCCCTGCCCCCAGAGGTGGAGTCTACAGAGTCAGGCAGGCCTCCTTGAGATGCAGTTGGCTCCACCCAGTTGGAGCTTCCTGGCTGCTTTGTTTACCTACTCAAGCCACGGCAATGGTGGGCGCCCCTCCCCCAGGCTTGTTGTTGCCTTGCAGTTTGATCTCAGACTGCTGTGCTAGCAATGATTGTGGCTCTGTGGGCGTAGGACCCTCTGAGCCAGGTGCAGGATATAATCTCCTGGTATGCCGTTTGCTAAGACCTTTGGAACAGTACAGTGTTAGGGTGGGAGTCACCCGATTTTCCAGGTGCAATCTGTCACCCCTTTCTTTGACTAGGAAAGGGTATTCCCTGACCCCTTGCACTTCCTGGGTGAGGCGATGCCTCACCATGCTTTGGCTCACATGGGGTGCGCTGCACCCACTGTCCTGCACCCACTTTCTGACACTCCCCAGTGAGATGAGCCCGGTACCTCAGTTGGAAATGCAGAAATCACCTGTGTTCTGCATTGCCGATGCTGGGAGTTCTAGACTAAGGCTTTTCCTATTCGCCCATCTTGGCTCCACCCCCTCTCTAATTAAATTTTAATGTGAATAGTCTGAAATTATTTTTTCTATATCCTTCAGTTTTTTCATAATTCTTCTCTAACTTTTAGGTTCTATGTTTATGCCCCTTATATTTTCCAGAAATGTTTCTGAAGATTATTGCCCATTTTAAAGTTAAACTAATTTTTTATTTAGTTTTTTGTTTATTCTGTATTCTGCTTATCAATCGCTTGTCAGCTGTGTAGTTTGCACATATTTCCTCTCATTTTCTTTCTTTTTTTTTGAGACAGTCTTGCTCTGTCACCCATGCTGGAGTGCAGTGGCACGATCTCAGCTCACTGTAACCTCCACCTCCTGGGTTCAAGAGATTCCCTGGCCTCAGCCTCCTGAGCAATTGGGCTTTCAGGAACCACGCCCGGCTAATTTTTGTATTTTTAGTAGACACAGTGTTTCACCATGTCAGCCAGGCTGGTCTAGAACTCCTGACCTCAGGTGATCCACCAGCCTCAGCCTCCCAAAATACTGAGTTTATAGGTGTGAGCCATCGTCCCTGGCCAATAGAATATTATTTATACAATGGAGTATTAGCTAGCCATAAAAATAAATACAGAACTGATATGTGCCACAACATGGATAAATAATGAAAACACGCTCAAAGAGAAAAGCCAAAGAAAAAAGGTCACATATTATATTATTATATTTCTATAAAGTGACTAGAATAGAAAACTAGAAATAGAAGCCGGGTGTGATGGCTCACGCCTGTAATCCCAGCACTTTGGGTGGCCGAAGCAGGCAGATCACGATGTCAGGAGATCGAGACCATGCTGGCTAACATGGTGAAACCCCGTCTCTACTAAAAATACAAAGAAAAATAGCTGGGCGTGCTGACAGGCATCTGTAGTCCCAGCTACCCTGGAGGCTGAGGCAGGAGAATGGCGTGAACCAGGGAGGTGGAGCTTGCAGTGAGCCGAGATCGTGCCACTGCACTCTAGCATGGGTGACAGAGTGAGACACCAAAAAAAAAAAAAAAAAAGGAAAGAAAGAAAGAGAGTACTAGAGATAGAAAGTCAATCAGTGGTTACCAAGGAAATTCGGTGGATGAATGATAAATTACTGCTTAATGGATATGGAGTTTTTTTGGTGAAAGGGTGATGAAACTATTTTGGAATTTGATAAGGGTGACAGTTGCATAGCATTGTAAATAAACTGAAAAGCACTGAATTTTACACTTTATATTAGATAGTATGTAGAACTCTATATTGTGTAAATTTTAGCTGACTAAAACATTTTAACAAGCAAAGAAAAATAAACTGTAGGCTTTGTGTGGTGGCTCACACCTATAATCTCAGTTTTTTTCAGAGGCTGATGCAAGCAGATCACGAGGTGAAGAGATCGAGACCATCCTGGACAACATGGCGAAACCCCGTCTCTACTAATAATACAAAAATTAGCCAGGCTTGGTGGCACGCCCTTATATTCCCAGCTACTCAGGAGGCTGAGGCAGGAGAATCACTTGAACCTGGGAGGTGGAGGTTGCAGTGAATCACTTGAACCCGGGAGGTGGAGGTTGCAGTGAGCCGAGATCATGCCACTCCACTCCAGTCCCGTGAAAGAGCGAGAAGAGAGAGACTCTGATAAAGAAAGAAAGAAAGAAAGAAAGAAAGAAAGAAAGAAGAAAGAAAGAAAGAAGAAAGAAAAAAGAAAATAAGGAAAGAAAGAAAAGAAAGGGAGGGAGGAAGGAAGGAGAAAGAAAGAGAAAGAAAGAAAGAAAGAAAGAAAAGGAAGGAAGGAATGAAGGAAGAGGAAAGAAAGAAAGAAGAAAGAAAGAAACGGAAGGAAGGAATGAAGGAAGAACAAAAGAAAGAGAAAGAAGAAAGAAAGGAAGAAAGAAAAGAAACGAAGGAGAAAGAAAGAAAGAGAAAGAAAAAGAAGGAAAGAAAGAAAGAAGAAAGAAAGAAAAAGAAAGAAGAAAGAAAGAAAGAAGAAAGAAAGAAAGAAAGAAAGAAAGAAAGAAAGAAAGAAAGAAAGAAAGACAGAAAAAAGAAATACTATGAAACAGGAGGGCAAATGAGGGAGCCCTGGAAAACGATTCTGTCTCCACTTTCAAAAAAGATCGCCCCCTCCAAAAAAAAGATCCCCAAAGCTCTGACCGAGAAGGTCTTCTCCTTGGATCCCAGAGCAGTGGTCTGAGGATCTGTCACATTCTACACCAGCCTGAGTGCTCAGTCCCGCACACCCCTAGGCCACTTTCTGCTCTGAAAGACCTTCGGAGGACACAGAGCAATTTCCAAAGTTCTGAGAGTACAGTGGTAATTGATAGACAGCAAGGTCAACTCACTTCTTTAAGCCTTTCAAATTTAGGGGTCACACAGTTCAATTATGTCAATTTGTACAGGGAAAAATTGAAGGTTTTCACTACTGTATTCCTCTCCATATTGGGTGTAGGGGGATTCCTTACCATTTTAATTATGCAGATTAATGAATGGAGAAAGTAAGGTTTTGTCCTTGGAAAGCTATCCTGGTGTTGGCTGCAGCCCAGTCAGATCCATGGAAGCCTTGAGCCTCTCAAGCCATCAGCCTATTGCCTTCCCCTGCCCATGTTATGGGTCCTGGGCATGTTACCAGAAGATGGGGTGCTTCTACCCCATGACAAAGCTGCCCCTATCCTCTATCTTTTTTCTTCTCATCACTCCATCAGCGTTAACTCCTCTTATGACCTTTAGCCTGAGAAGTCTGTGTGTGTATGCACAAACCTGTGGAAGTCTAATGATGCAGACATGAGTTTGCTTCATATGACGAGAAAATTGGCAAAAATCCCCAGGATCTCAGGGACTCATTCCCAAAACAAACCCCATGAGAGTGTTGAGCCCTGGCCTAGGAGGTCAGAATGCTCTTTTTTCCCTTGGACTCTGCCCACTTCATCATCTCTGGGCCAGTCCCTGCTTCTCTCCAGACCTCAGTTTTTCAGATATCCAATGAGATGTGAGATGTCAAAATGCTTAAGCCACAGCTCAACATGCATATGGTCTAACGTCCCTACCAACTAGGATTGGTGTAGCAAGGCTGTGATCAGGGTGTTCCCAGATCTTCCTCACTTGGGAAGAAATAGATGGGTTCTGCACTGGGCACATGGACCTTCTGTTCAAGAAGGGTCATACACACTTGATCTTTCAAGGCCCACAGACAATGTGTGCAAGTGAGCCCCACCTCCACCCCCCAACAGCTTCCCATGGAGCATAACAATATGTCCCCTGTCCTCTGAGTCTGGAAAGTAGTGACATCCTCACTTAACACATGGATTGATGGACCCTTTGTATAATTAAATCTTCCCCACTACTGCCTCCACCACTACGCAGATAGAAAAAAGTCTTAGGAAAGTGACATAACATCCAGAATTACACAGAGATTCCATGGCAAAGCTAGCACTTTAGTTAGGATTACATTTTCCTACATATAGAAGAAAACCCAGACCGGGTGCTGTAGTTCACGCCTGTTATCCCAACACATTGGGAGGTTGAGGCAGACGGATCACCAGAGGTCTGGAGTTTAAGACCAGCCTGACCAACATAGAGAAACCCAGTCTCTACCAAAAATACAAAATTTTCCAGGCGTAGTGGTGCATGCCTGTAATCCCTGCTTCTTGAGAGGCTGAGGCAGGAGAATCGCTTGAACCCGGGAGGTAGAGATTGTGGTGAACCGAGATCGCGCCATTGCACTCCAGTCTGGGCAATAAGAGTGAAACTCCGTCTCAAAAAAATTAAAAAAGAAAACCCAATATAATAGTGCAGATAAGAGAGAGAATGCTTTCTTTCTCATAAATAAGGATGTTAGAGCTGGGCAGTCTGACTCTGAACCGTACACGAAGGTAGTCAAAAATAGTCTGTCATTTTGCTAAAATGTTTTTCTTTTTTGAACTTTGTTTTAAGTTCAGGGGTATATGGGCAGGATGTGCAGGTTCTTTAAATATGGAAACATACGTCCCGAAGTTTGGTTGTGCAGATTGTTTTATCACCCAGGTATTAAGTCTACTAACTATTAGTTATTTTTTCTGATTCTCTCCCTCCTCTCACCCCCTACCTCCTGATAGGCCCTGGTGCGTGTTGCTCCCCTCCATGTTTCTGTGTGTTCTCATCATCTACCCTCCACTTATAAGTGAGAAAATGTGGTATTTGGTTTTCTGTTTCTGTTAGTTTTTTAAGGATAATGGCCTCCAGCTCCATCCATGTCCCTACAAAGGACATAATCTTGTGCTTTTTTATGGCTGCATAGTACTCCATGTTGTATATGAACTACGTTTTCTTCAACCAGTCTATTATTGATGAACATGTAGGCTGATTTGATGTCTTTGCTATTGTGAATAGGGCTGTGATGAACTTGAGCGTGCAGGTATCTTTATAATAGAATGACTTATATTTGTTTGGGTATATACCCAGTAATGAGATTGCTAGGTCAAATGGTATTCTTTTCTTTAGGTCTTTGAAGAATCACCACACTGTCTTCCACAACGTTTGAACTCGACCAACAGGGTAAAAATGTTGCTTTTTCTCCACAACTTTGTCAGCATCTGTGATTTTTTGATTTTTTCATGGTAACCATTATACCTGGTATAAAATGATGTCTCATTGTGGTTTGGATTTACATTTCTCTAATGGTCAGTGATGTTGAACTTCTGTTTCATACGCTTATTGGCTGCATGTATGTCTTCTTTCAAGAAGTGTTTCTGTGTGTCCTTTGGCCAATTTTTAATAAGGTTGTTTGTTTTTCTCGTGTAAATTTATGTTCCTTATGGATGCTAGAAATTAGATTATTGTCAGATGCACAGTTTGCAAAAATTTTCTCCCATTCTATACATTGTCTGTTTACTCTGTTGATAGTTTCTTTTGCTGTGCAAAAGCTCTTTAGTTTAATTAGATCCCATTTGTCAATGTTCTCTTTGTTCTAATTGCTTTTGCGCCTTCATCATAAAATATTTGCCCATGCCTATGTCCCGAATGGTATTGCCTAGGTTGTCTTCCAAAGTTTTTATAGTCTTGGGTTTTACATTTAAACCATGTTGAGTTTATTGTTGTATATGATGTAAGGAATCTTTCTTTATTTTTTAAATTTAAATTGGGTTCTGAAGTACAAGTGCAGAATGTGTAGGTTTGTTACATTGGTATATGTGTGCCATGGTGGTTTACTGCACCTATCAGCCCGTTATCCAGGCTTCAAGTCCCACATGCATTAGCTAGTTATCCTAATGCTCTCCCTCCCTTCGACTCCCATTCCCTGACTAGCCCCAGTTGTGTTGTTTCCCTTCCAGTGTCCATGTGTTCTTATTGTTCAACTCCCACTTATGAGTGAGAATATGCGGTGGTTAGTTTTCTGTTCCTGTGTTAGTTGCAGAGGATGATGGAGGAAGGGGTTCAGTTTCAATTTTTTGCACATGGCTAGGCAGTTATCCCAGCACCATTTATTGAGTACAGAGTCGTTTTTTCATTGCTTGTTTTTGTCAGGTTTGTCGAAGATCAGTTAGTTGTAGGTGTGCAGTCTTATTTCTGGGTCCTCTATTCTGTTTCATTGGTCTGTGTGTCTGTTCTTGTACCAGTACCATGCTGTTTTGGTTTCTGTAGCCCTGTAGCACAGTTTGAAGTTGGGTAGTGTGATGCCTCCAGCTTAGTTCTTTTTGTTTGGGGTTGTCTTGACTATTCAGGCCTTTGTTGGTTCCATATAAATTTTAAAATAGCTTTTCTAGTTTTGTGAAAAATGTCATTGGTAGTTTAACGGAAATACTATTAACTCTATAAATTTCTTTGTGGAGTGTGTCTACTTTAACAATATTAACTCTTTCTATCCATAAGCATGAAATGTTTTTCTATTTGTTTATGTCATGTCTGATTTCTTTGAGAAGTGGTTTATAGTTCTCCTTGTAGTGGCCTTTCACTTCTCTTGTTAGATACATTCCTTGGTATTTTATTCTTTTTGTGGTAACTGTGAATGAGTGTTCATTCACGATTTTGCTCTTGGCTTGACTGTTGTTGGTATATAAGGATTTAGTGCTAGTGATTTTTGCCCATTTATTTTGTATCTTGGGACTTTGTTAAAGATATTTATCAGCTTAAGAAGCTTTGGGGTTGAGACAATAGGGGTTTTCAAGATATAGAATCATGTCGTCTGACATCAGGTGTTGTTTAATTTCTTTTCTTTCAATTTGAATGCCTTTTTCTCTTACCTGATTGCTCTGCCCAGTACTTCCAATACTATCTGAAATAGGAGTCATGAGAGAGGGCATCCTTGTCTTGTGCCCGTTTTAAAAGGGAATGCTTTCAGCTTTTGCCCTTTCAGTATGATATTGGCTGTGGGTTTGTCATACATGGTTCTTATTATATTGAAGTATGTTTTTTTCAATACCTAGTTTATTGAGAGTTTTTACAAGAATGGATGCTGAATTTTATGGATGCAAAGATTTATCTGCATCTATTCAGACAATCATGTGGCTTTTGTCTTTAGTTCTGTTTATGTGATAAATCACATATTGATTTGTGTACGTTGAATTAAAGTTGCATCCCACACATGGAGCCTACTTGATTGTGGTGGATAAGCTTTCTGATGCGCTGCTGGATTTGGTTTGCCCCTATTTTGTTAAGAATGTTTGCATAAATGTTCATCAAAAATATTGGCATGAAGTTTTTTTTTTTCTTTTTTTATTTTATTATTATTATACTTTAAGTTTTAGGGTACATGTGCACAATGTGCAGGTTAGTTACATATGTACGCATGCACCATGCTTGTGTGCTGCACCCATTAACTCGTCATTTAGCATTAGGTATATCTCCCAATGCTATCCTTCTCCCCTCCCCCCTCATCACAACAGTCCCCAGAGTGTGATGTTCCCCTTCCTGTGTCCATGTGATCTCATTGTTCAATTCCCACCTATGAGTGAGAACATGCGGTGTTTGGTTTTTTTGTTCTTGTGATATTTTACTGAGAATGATGATTTCCAATTTAATCCGTGTCCCTACAAAGGACATGAACTCATCATTTTTTATGGCTGCATAGTATTCCATGGTGTATATGTGCCACATTTTCTTAATCCAGTCTATCATTGTTGGACATTTGGGTTGGTTCCAAGTCTTTGCTATTGTGAATAGTGCCGCAATAAACAAACGTGTGCATGTGTCTTTAAAGCAGCATGATTTATAGTCCTTTGTGTATATACCCAGAAATGGGATGGCTGGGTCAAATGGTATTTCTAGTTCTAGATCCCTGACGAATTGCCACACTGACTTCCACAATGGTTGAACTAGTTTACAGTCCCACCAACAGTGTAAAAGTGTTCCTATTTCTCCACATCTCCTCCAGCACCTGTTGTTTCCTGACTTTTTAATGATTGCCATTCTAACTGGTGTGAGATGGTATCTCATTGTGGTTTTGATTTGCATTTCTCTGATGGCCAGTGATGGTGAGCATTTTTTCATGTGTTTTTTGGGTGCATAAATGTCTTCTTTTGAGAAGCGTCTGTTCATGTCCTTCGCCCACTTTTTGATGGGGTTGTTTTCTTCTTGCAAATTTTTTGAAGTTTTGTTTTTTTTCTTGTGTGTCTGCCAGGTTTTGGTACCAGGATGATGTGGTCTCATAGAAAGAGTCGGGAAGGAAGCCCTCTGTTTCAGTTTTTTGAAATAATTTTAGTGGGAATTGTACCAGTTCTTCTTCATAAATGTCATAACCTTCAGCTTTTAATCTTTGTGTTTCTGATCTTTTTGTGGTTTGTAGGCTATTTATTACTGCCTGAATTTCAGAGCCTGTTGTTTGTCTTTTCAGGGATTCAATTTCTTCCTGGTTTATTCTTGAAGGGTGTATGTGTCCAGAAATTTATCCATTTCTACTGAATTTGTTATCTTATAGGCATAGAGGTGTTTATGATATTTTCTGATGGTTATTTTTATTTCTGTGGGGTCAGTGGTAACCCTTATTATTTCTGATTGTGTTCATTTTAATTTTTGATATTTTCTTCCTTATTAGTCTACTACTGGTGTATTTATATTATTGGTTTTTTCAAAGAAAAAGAAACAGCTCCTGAATTTGTTGATCTGTTGAATGGTTTCTCTTGTCCCTATCTCCATCATTTCAGGTCTGATTTTGGTTATTTCTTGTCTTCTGCTAGCTCTAGAACTTCTTTGCTCTTGTTCCTGTAGTTATTTTTGTTGTGAAGTTGTAACTTGAGACATTTCTGGCATTTTAATGTGGGCATTTAATGCCATAAATTTTCATCTTAATACTGCCTTAGCTGTGTCCCAGAGATTCTGGTATGTTTTGTCTTTGTTCTCATTGGTTTCAAAGAACTCCTTGATATCTGCCTTAATTTCATTATTTACCCAAAAGTTATTCAGGAGCAGGTGATTCAATTTCCATTTAATTTTATGGTTTTCAGTAAATTATTTCATCGTGAGTTTTAATTTGATTGTGCTGTGATCTGAGCCACTGTTTATTATGATTTCAGTTCTTTTGCATTTGCTGAAGAGTGTTTTACTTCTGGCTAAGTGACCAATTTCAGAGAAAGTGTCATGTAGTGATGAGAAGAATGTATATTCTGCTGTTTTCATGTGGAGAGTTCTGTAAATATATATCATGTCCATTTGATCCAGAGCTAAGTTCAGGTCCTGAACACCTTTGTTAATTTTCTGTCTCAATAATCTTTCTAATACTGTCAGTGGGATGTTAAAGTCGGTCACTATTATTGTGTGGTGTTCTAAGTCTCTTTCAAGATATCTAGAAACTTGTTATATGAATCTGGGTACTCTTGTGTTGGGTGCATATATATTTAGAATAGTTAATTCTTGTTGAATTGAATTCTTTGCCATTATGTAATGACCCTCTTTGTTGTTGTTGTTGTTTTTAATCTGTGTTGGTTTAAAGTCTGTTTTGTTGGAAAGTAAGACTGCAACCCTTGCTTTTTTAGGTTTTCCACTTGCTTGGTGAAATTTCCTCCATCCCTTTATTTTTAGCCTATGTGTGTCCCCGCATGTGAGATGGGTGTCTTGAAGAGCATACCAATGGGTCTTGGTTTTTATACAATTGCCACCCTGTGTGTTTCAACTGGGGCATTTATCCCATTTACATTTAAGTTAAGTATTGTTATGCGTAGATTTTATCTTGTTATCTTGATGCTAGCTGGTTATTTTTATTTTTCAGACTTGTTTATGTGGTTGATTTATAGTGTCAATGGTCTGTGTACTTGAGTGTGTTTTTATGGTGGCTGGTAATAATTTTCCCTTTCCAAATTGGTGCTTCCTTCAGGAGCTCTTGAAAAGCATGTCTGGTGTTCATGAATTAACTCGGAATTTGCTTGTCTGAAAGGGATGTTATTTCTCCCCAGATTAAGCTTAGTTTGGCCAGATATAAAATTCTGGCTTAAAGTTTATTTTCTTTAAGAACGTTAAATATTGGCCCCCAATCTCTTTTGGCTTGTAGGGTTCTCACTGACAGCTCTGCTCTTAGTCTGATCAACTTCTTTTTGTAGGTGACTTGGCTTTTCTCTGCGGCTGAGCTTTTTTTTCTTTTTTTTTCTTCCATTTCAAGTTTGGGGAATCTGACGTTTACGTGTCTTGGGTATGATTTTTTCTTGGAGTATCTTACTGAACTTCTCTCCATTTTCTGAATTGTTGGCCAGTGTAGCAAGGTTGGGGAAGTTCTCATTGATGATATCCTGAAATATGTTTTCCTGATTGGTTCCATTCTCCCCAGCTCTTTCAAGTACACCAATCAGTTGTAGATTTGGTCTCTTTACATAATCCCATATTTCTCAAAGGTTTTGTTTATTCCTTTCATTCTTTTTTTCTATTCTTCTCTGCATGTCTTCTTTCAGAAATACAAACTTCAAGCTCTGAGTTTCTTTCCTCATTAATACTTGTGATTGCATTATGAAATTTTTGTATTGTGTTTTACAGTGCTATCGGGTTGGTTAGGCTCCTCTCTATCCTGGCTAATTTGTTTGTCAGCTCCTGCAATATTATATTGTAATTTTTAGCTTTCTTGTATTGAGTTAGAGCATGCTCCTTTAGATCAGTGAAGTTCATTTTTATCCACATTCTGGGGTCTACTTCTGTTATTTCAGGGATCACAGCCTCACCCTTATTCTGAACTCTTGCTGGAGAAGTAGTGTGGTCGTTTGGGAGAGGGAGAGCACCCTGATTTTTGAGTTTTTAGTATTCTTGTTGTGATTCTCACCTTTGTGTGCCTATCTATCTTTAATCTTTGAGGTTGCTGGCCTTTGAATGAGATTTTTGTTTGTTTCTCTTCCTTTTAACTGTTTGGCCATTTTGTGTGGGGCTGCTGTAGTTTGTTGGGCATCTGCTCCACTCTCTTGTCACCTCGGATTTTCCAGTATCTGGGGGTATCACCAGTGAAGGCTGTGAAACAAGAAAGATAGCAGCCCACTCCCTTCCCTGGGAGCTCCATCCCAGGGCGGGTGCAGACATGTTGAGGGCTGGAACACACCTGTAGGAGGTGACTGGAAACCCCAGTTGGTAGGTCTCACCCAGCTAGGAGGAATAGGATTGGGGACCCACTTAAGCCATCTAGCCCCACTTTCATAGATCAGCCATGCTGTGCGGGGTACCATTTCTGCCCTTCATCAGATTGGGCTCTCCAAAGCCTGGAGGCTGAAACAGCAAAGATGGTGGCCAACCCCTCTCTCTAGGAACTCTGGCCCAGGAAGTTTTTAAACCTCTGCCAGCCAGACAACATCAGTGGGAGTTGCTGGAGGCCCTGGTTGGGAAGTTCCACCCAGAGATGCAGAGCATATTAGGTCCCACTTAAAGAAGCAATCTGATCACATTATGGCAGATCCACTGTGCTATGCTGGGGGATTCCTTCTTCCCTGGGATGGTTTGGACTCTCCTAAGCCCACTGATTGTTATGGCTGAGTTCTCCAAACAACAAATATGAAGACCCACTGCTCCCAATGTGCACTGCATCCAGGAATAAATCAAAACTCTGCCTGCCGGAGAATATGGAAGGGGCTGTCTGGAGGCTCTGGTAGGAGGCCCCACTCTGAGATGAAAAAGGTATCTGGGTCCCACTTCAAGAAGTAGTCCGGCCAAACTTTGGGAGGGCCAATGTGCCGTGCTAAGGGATTTCTTCCATCTGCCATGAGTTTTTTTTTTTTTTAACTCTCCTAAACCTCCAGGCTGGAATGGCTGAGTCATCCAAACAGCAAATATAGCAGCCAGCCCCTGCCTCCAGGAACGTTGTTCCATCCCAGGTAATTGCAATGCTGTTGCTGGGGGCTGGATGGAATTCCAAGCCAGTAGGTCTTATCCTGTGAGGCGTCATGGAAGTGGGGCCCACTGATGCTGCTCAGGCCCATGGATTCAGCTTCCTTTCTAGGGGCATTTACGGAGATCCAACCTCCCACCTTGTCTGAGTTGCAGTCACCTTTGCCAGAGATCTCAGAGCCAAAGTATGTAAAGCTCCTGCGATTCTGTTTGTGTCTGAGCAGTTGTTCTGCCGGGAACACGCAGCTCTGTGTATCAGACCAAAGGCCCTGGTGGAATAAGTTTACGAGAAAATCTCCTGACCCGAGAGTTGCAAAGATCCATGGGAGAAGTGTGGTTTCTCAGGGTCACGTATTTGCTCACCACTTCCTTGGGCAGGGTAGGTTCCCTTTGGTCTGTGTTACTCCCGGGTGGGCGGTTGCCATGCCCTTCTTTTTCCCATGGGTTGAGCTGTTTCCTTCATTAGTCCCACTGCAAATATCTGGGTGTTTCAGTTGATGGTGCTGTATTTATTTTCCCTCTTTGTTTCTTTTCATGAAAGCCACACACCATAGCTACTTCTAGTCAGCCCTCTTGGCACACTTTGCTACAATATTTCAGTAGATGGTTTTTATCCTGTAGGCTGTCTCATGGTCCCATATGGCTGGCTGTAGGAGCACAAGCCTGCACCAGCAACCATGTCCATTTCAAAGGTAAGAAGTAGGAAAGATGCAAGGTCAAAGTGGCTTGCACAGCTGCATCAGCTCCATCTGAGGAATCTCCCTGAAGTCCCATCAATACTTATGGTTACAACCAATTGTCTTGAATAGGGGTCAGAAACTATAACCTTTGTGTTTGTAAGTTGCTGTTTGAATAAAACTAAATTTCTAATTTTGTGTTTTGTTTTGTTTTGTTTTGTTTTGTTTTGTTTGATGGAGTCTCACTCTGTCACCAGGCTGGAGTGCAGTGGTGTGATTTTGGCTCACTGAAACCTCTGACTCTTGGGTTCAAGTGATTCTCCTGCCTCAGCCTTTCAAGTAGCTGGGATTACAGGTGTGCTTGCATCACCATGCCCAAAATGCTGGGATTACAGGCATGAACCACCACACCCAGCCCTGACTCTCTGTTTTTAAGAGTGAAAGCAAAATTAAAACTGTGGCAATGACAAGTGCTCTTTTTCTACACTAAATTCAAAGGTAAACAGAAGAAGATGGAGGTTTTCTCAGGTGAAGTGGGCACTCATTTTTCAAACAAAGCCTTTTTTGGTGATTATTTATTTTGAGATCAGATGGGAAAAAAATCTGGGTTCTTTTAAGCACTACCTTTATGACCAAATGTTAGTCAAGCTTAACTGAACCCTCTTTTTGACTAAGCCAACCTTGACTTCTTGCCCTGCTCCTGGTTTGAGAGGCTCACTTTCATAAATCCTGCTAATACTGTTTAGTAAAAATCCACATATCCCTTATGTCTACTAATATCGTGATTCCCTTTCTTTGATATTTAAGTCCTTAGCCAACCTGTAACCAGGCTTCTGCTATAAAAAGTTCCTCTTCCTCCTTTGGTATTTTATCAAATGTTTTTCAATAATTCTTATCCACTGATTTATTCTGCTTATTGACTATAAATTCTTCGTTGTCTGTGTTCAGAGTTATGATCAATTTCTGAACTGAACCCTATTACGATGGCCATAAAATCTACTACAATAGTATTAATGTCTTTCTTCCCAATTTTTAACAAACATCAGAAATTTTTATTTCACAGTTTCCCAACAGTATGTTTGAGTATAAAAACAGTTTTCAGTTTGCCCCCAAAAATGATGTGATCCACTGTGTAGATGTGTATGCCTGATCCTTGTGTCCAAAAAAGTATGTTTTTATTTAAATGGGGTGAGGGTGACAGATTATAGAGCCAATGTTTTCCTAAAATGCTGAGTCATAATTGAAACCATACAAATCAAGAATATAGAATGCTTGGACTCCAACATTTTTAACCCTGAGGATATTTTGATGTCCATAATTTATATTACTGTGAAAATAATGCACAAGAAAGAAAACTGATAGCTCTCCCTCTTCCTCTCCCTCTCCCTCTCCCTCACCCTCTCCGTCTCCCCACGGTCTCTCTCTCCCTCTCTTTCCACGGTCTCCCTCTGATGCCGAGCCGAAGCTGGATGGTACTGCTGCCATCTCGGCTCACTGCAACCTCCCTGCCTGATTCTCCTGCCTCATCCTGCCGAGTGCCTGCGATTGCAGGCGCGCGCCGCCACGCCTGACTGGTTTTCGTATTTTTTTGGTGGAGACGGGGTTTCGCTGTGTTGGCCGGGCTGAGCTCCTAACCGCGAGTGATCCGCCACCCTCGGCCTCCCGAGGTGCCGGGATTGCAGACGGAGACTCGTTCACTCAGTGCTCAATGGTGCCCAGGCTGGAGTGCAGTGGCGTGATCTCGGCTCGCTACAACCTCCACCTCCCAGCAGCCTGCCTTGGCCTCCCAAAGTGCCGAGATTGCAGCCTCTGCCCGGCCGCCACCCCGTCTGGGAAGTGAGGAGCGTCTCCACCTGGCCGCCCATCGTCTGGGATGTGAGGAGCCCCTCTGCCTGGCTGCCCAGTCTGGAAAGTGAGGAGCGTCTCTGCCCGGCCGCCATCCCATCTAGGAAGTGAGGAGCGCCTCTTCCCGGCCGCCATCACATCTGGAAGTGAGGAGCGTCTCTGCCCGGCCGCCCATCATCTGAGATGTGGGGAGCACCTCTGCCCTGCCGCCCCGTCCGGGATGTGAGGAATGTCTCTGCCCGGCCGCCCCGTCTGAGAAGTGAGGAGACCCTCTGCCTGGCAACCACCCCGTCTGAGAAGTGAGGAGCCCCTCCGCCCGGCAGTCACCCCGTCTCGGAAGTGAGGAGCATCTCCGCCTGGCAGCCACCTCGTTCGGGAGTGAGGTGGGGGGGTCAGCCCCCCACCTGGCCAGCCACCCCATGCGGGAGGGAGGTGGGGGGTCAGCCGCCCGCCCGGCCAGCCGCCTCCTCCGGGAGGGAGGTGGGTGGGTTAGCCCCCCGCCTGGCCAGCCGCCCCATCCGGGAAGTGAGGGGCGCCTCTGCCCGGCAGCCCCTGATGGGAAGTGAGGAGCCCCTCTGCCCGGCCAGCCGCCCCGTCTGGGAGGGAGGTGGGGGATCAGCCCCCCGCCCGACCAGCCACCCCTTCTGGGGGGGAGGGAGGTGGGCGGGTCAGCCCCCCGCCCGGCCAGCCGCCCCGTCCGGGAGGTGAGGGGCGCCTCTGCCCGGCCGCCCCTACTGGGAACTGAGGAGCCCCTCTGCCCGGCCAGCCACCCCATCCGGGAGGGAAGTGGGGGGGTCAGCCCCCCGCCCGGTCAGCCGCCCCGTCCGGGAGGGAGGTGGGGGGTCAGCCCCCCGCCCGGCCAGCCGCCCCGTCTGGGAGGGAGGTGAGGGGGTCAGCCCCTCGCCCGGCCAGCCGCCCTGTCCAGGAGGGAGGTGGGGGGTCAGCCCCCCGCCTGGCCAGCCGCCCCGTCCGGGAGGTGAAGGGCGCCTCTGCCCAGCCGCCCCTACTGGGAAGTGAGGAGCCCCTCTGCCCTGCCACCACCCCGTCTGGGAGGTGTACCCAACAGCTCATTGAGAATGGGCCATGATGACAATGGCGGTTTTGTGGAATAGAAAGGGGGGAAAGGTGGGGAAAAGATTGAGAAATCGGATGGTTGCCGTGTCTGTGTAGAAAGAGGTAGACATGGGAGACTTTTCATTTTGTTCTGTACTAAGAAAAATTCTTCTGCCTTGGGATCCTGTTGATCTGTGACCTTACCCCCAACCCTGTGCTCTCTGAAACATGGGCTGTATCCACTCAGGGTTGAATGGATTAAGGGCGGTGCAAGATGTGCTTTGTTAAACAGATGCTTGAAGGCAGCATGCTCCTTAAGAGTCATCACCACTCCCTAATCTCAAGTACCCAGGGACACAAACACTGCGGAAGGCCACAGGGTCCTCTGCCTAGGAAAACCAGAGACCTTTGTTCACTTGTTTATCTGCTGACCTTCCCTCCACTATTGTCCTGTGACCCTGCCAAATCCCCCTCTGCGAGAAACACCCAAGAATGATCAATTAAAAAAAAAAAAGAAAACTGATAATGCTTAAAATTAAACATGGTGCAACGTATCACTGACTAAAAACTGATATAAGAAAACATTATTCCAAAAACATTTGGGTATCCACCACTTAACCCAGGAAAGTAGACCGTGTAGAAATAATGGTCCCTACAGACAATTTGTAGAAGCAGAATCTATAAATTATGGTGTGAAAAATTCAGGTAATTTTTGTTTAAATATAGTGATCCTGATAAAAATTCAATTGAATTAAAAATTAGAGAAGATTAACTTGAATTAGTTATGTTTTTATAAAATATAAATTATGAAGTTAAAACGTAATATATAAGTATGCTCTGGAAAACACATTCTCAAATGAATAAAATTTCTTTTTATTGGATTAGTTGAATGTTTGATGTTATCTGTTTATTAAACCCAAGGGGATATCACCACCGATCCCACAGAAATACAAACTACCATCAGAGAATACTATAAACACCTCTATGCAAATAAACTAGAAAATCTAGAAGAAATGGATAAATTCCTCGACACATACACCCACCCAAGACTAAACCAGGAAGAATTTGAATCTCTGAATAGACCAATAACAGGCTCTGAAATTGAGGCAATAATTAATAATTAGCTTTCCAACCAGAAAAAGTCCAGGACTAGATGGATTCACAGCCAAAATCTACCAGAGGTACAAGGAGGAGCTGGTACCATTCCTTCTGAAACTATTCCAATCAATAGAAAAAGAGGGAACCTCCCTAACTCATTTTATGAGGACAGCATCATCCTGATACCAAAGCCTGGCAGAGACACAACAAAAAAAGAGAATTTTAGACCAATATCTCCGATGAAGATCTATGCAAAAATCCTCAATAAAATACTGGCAAACCGAATCCAGCAGCATATCAAAAAGCTTATCCACCATGATCAAGTGGGCTTCATCTCTGGGATGCAAGGCTGGTTCAACATACACAAATCAACAAACGTAATCCACCTTATAAACAGAACCAATGACAAAAAAACCATGTGATTATCTTGAGATATCAAGAGATGCAGAAAAGGCCTTTGACAAAATTCAACAACTCTTCCTGCAAAAAACTCTCAATAAATTAGGAATTGATGAGACGTATCTCAAAGTAATAGGAGCTATCTCTGACAAAGCCATAGCCAATATCATACTAAATGGGCAAAAGCTGGAAGCATTCCCTTTGAAAACAGGCACAAGACAGGGATGCCCTCTCTCACCTCTCCTATTCAACATAATGTTGGAAATTCTGGCCAGGGCAATCAGGAAGGAGAAGGAAATAAAGGGTATTCAATTAGGAAAAGAGGAAGTCAAATTGTCCCTGTTTGCAGATGACATGATTGTATATCTAGAAAACCCCATCATCTCAGCCCAAAATCTCCTTAAGCTGATAGGCAACTTCAGCAAAGTCTGAGGATACAAAATCAGTGTGCAAAAATCATTAGCATTCTTATACACCAATAACAGACAAACAGAGAGCCAAATCGTGAGTGAACTCCCATTCACAATTGCTTCAAAGAGAATAAAATACCTAGGAACCCAACTTACAAGGACGTGAAGGACCTCTTCAAGGAGAACTACAAACCACTGCTCAATGAAATAAAAGAGGATACAAACAAATGGAAGAACATTCCATGCTCATGGGTAGGAATAATCAATATCGTGAAAATGGCCATACTGCCCAAGGTAATTTATAGATTCAATGCCATCCCCATCAAGCTACCAAAGACTTTCTTCACAGAATTGGAAAAAACTACTTTAAAGTTCATAAGGAACTAAAAAAGAGCCCTCATTGCCAAGTCAATCCTAAACCAAAAGAACAAAGCTGGAGCCATCACGCTACCTGACATCAAACTATACTACAAGGCTACAGTGACCAAAACAGCATTGTACTTGTACCAAAACAGAGATATAGACCAATGGAACAGAACAGAGCCCTGAGAAATAATGCCACATATCTACAACCATCTGATCTTTGACAAACCTGACAAACACAAGAAATGGGGAAATGATTCCCTAGTTAATAAATGGTGCTGGGAAAACTGGCTAGCCGTATGTAGAAAGCTGAAACTGGATCCCTTCCTTGCACCTTATACAAAAATTAATTCAAGATGGATTCAAGACTTAAATGTTAGACCTAAAACCGTAAAAACCCTAGAAGAAAACCTAGGCAATACCATTCAGGACATAGGCATGGGGAAGGACTTCATGTCTAGAACACCAAAAGCAATGGCAACAAAAGCCAAAATTGACAAATGGGATCTAATTAAACTAAGGAGCTTCTGCACAGCAAAAGAAACTACCATCAGACTGAACAGGCAACCTACAGAATGGGAGAATGTTTGTGCCATCTACTCATCTGACGAAGGGCTAATATCCAGAATCTACAATGAACTCAAACAAATTTACAAGAAAAAAACAACCCCATCAAAAAGTGGGTGAAGGATATGAAGACCCTTCTCAAAAGAAGACATTTATGCAGCAAAAAGACACATGGAAAAATGCTCATCATCACTGGCCATCAGAGAAATGCAAATCAAAACCACAATGAGATACCATCTCACACCACTTAGAATGGCGATCATTAAAAAATCAGGAAACAACAGGTGCTGGAGAGGATGTGGAGAAATAGAAACACTTTTACACGGTTGGTGGGACTGTAAACTAGTTCAACCATTGTGGAAGTCAGTGTGGCGATTCCTCAGGGCTCTAGAACTAGAAATACTATTTGACCCAGCCATCCCATTACTGGGTATACACCCAGGGGAGTATAAATCATGCTGCTATAAAGGCACAAGCACAAGTATGTTTATTGCGGCACTGTTCACAATAGCGAAGACTTGGAACCAACCCAAATGTCCAACAATGATAGACTGGATTAAGAAAATGTGGCACATATACACCATGGAACAAAATGCAGCCATAAAAAATGAAGAGTTCATGTCTTTTATAGGGACATGGATGAAGCTGGAACCATCATTCTGAGCAAACTATCCAAGCACAAAACACCAAACACCGCATGTTCTCGCTCATAGGTGGGAATTGACCAAAGAGAACATATGGGCAGAAGAAGGGGAACATCACACTCCGGGGCCTGTTGTGGGGTAGGGTGAGGGGGGACGGATAGCATTTGGAGATATACCTAATGTTAAATGGCGAGTTACTGGGTGCAGCACACCAACATGGCACATGTATACATATGTAACAAACCTGCATGTTGTGCGCATGTACCGTAAAAGTTAAAGTATAATAAAAAAATAAAATAAAATAAAATTTAATTAGAAATGAAAAAAGAAAATTCTACAACTTGAAACTAGATAGAAGGTAGATCAGAAACAAAAATAGGAGTAAAGTGTGACTTTCTTCTCACTGTTTGATTATTATAGAGGCATTTTTATTTCATTAAAATCTTATATTTCTGGGGCTAGTTAATGTTATGATATTTTATTTTTAAATAGTTTTATTTTATTTACTTCAGTTAATTTGTAATTTTTGAGGATGCATTGTAGGTGTATATACTTATGGGGTTCATGAGATGTTTTGATGCGGTCTCGCAATGCATAATAATCACATCATAGAGAGTGGGATACCCACCCACTCAAGCATTTATTCTTTGGGTTAAAATGTGATTATTCCTTCTTAGCTAGTTTAAAATGTACAATTACATTATTATTGACCAGAGTCATCTCGTTGTGCTATCAAATAATATGTCTTATTTATTCTATTTTTTTGTACACGTTAACAGTCCCCACCTTTCCCCCAGCCTCCACTGTCTTTCTTAGCCTCTGAAAACCATCCTTCTGCTCTCTATGTCCGTGAATTCAGTTGTATTAATTCTTCCATCCCACGAATAAGTGAGAACGCACAGTGTTTATCTTTCTGTGCCTGGCTTATTTCACTTAACATACTCTTCTCTTTTATCCATGTTGTCGTAAAAGACAAAATCTCATTTTTATGGCTGAATACTACTCCAATGTATATATGTACTACTTTTTTTATACATTCATTCATTTGTAGACAGTTTGCTTTCAAATCTTAGCTATTGTAAACAGTGCAGCAACAAGCCGATTTTCTTTCTTTTGTGTCAATGCCCATCACTGGGATTGTTAGGTTGCATTGTAGCTGTGGCAGCTCAATTTTTAGCTTTTTGAGGAACCTCCACACTTTTTTATACTGGTTATACTAATTTACATTCCCACCAAGAGTGCACTAAAGTTTTCTCCACATCCTCGTCAGCACTTGTTATTGTCTGTCTTTGGGATATAAGACATTTTAACTGGAGTGAGATAATATCTTATTGTAGTTCTGATTTGCATTTCTCTGAGGTTTAATGATGTTTAGCAACATTTATATGTCTGTTTGCCATTTGTACGTTTTCTTTGTAGAAATGCCTCCTCCTGGCTGGGTGTTTCATGCCTATAATCTCAGCACTTTGGGATGCCGAGATGGAAGGATCACCTGAGGTCAGGAGTTTGAGATCAGCCTGGCCAACATGGCTAAACCCAGTCTCCACTAAAAATATAAAAATTTGTCAGGCATGTGTTCTGCATGGGAGATGCATGAGGAAGAAGAAAAGGCACACACAATACTTTTAAGGGTAAACATCTTTTGTCTCAATTATATGGCAATACAGATATAATAAGTAAATGATATGATAAGCAAATTGATATGAGAAGGGAAAAAATATATATATTTTTTATATATATAAATATATATATTATATATATACAATTATATATGTATTTATTTACATTTATTTATTTAAATAATTATGTACATAATTATATAATTATTTTTATTTACAGTTATATGTATAAATTATATACATATATATGTGTATATATATATATACATATGTTTACACACAGCAGACTACAGAGTATGGAGGAAGCATCACCAGACAGAGAAGCAATAGCCTGGGCTCCAGAGTCAGACACTACACTCACCAGACTATGGAGGATTCATCAACAGACCGGGAAGCAACAGCCTGGGCTACAGAGTTGGCCCCTCATCCCTGCAGAGATGGGGAGAGGTCTCAGGAAGCTCTAGTGCCATCTGGGACCCTAGCTCTTTTTGTAAGGAGTTCTTTGGCATAAGGCCGGGTAACGAGGACTCTTCACTACTGGGCTCAAAAACCACAAAAATGTCAAATTTTTGGCGATTGTCTGTTGTTTTTCAATAACTAACATACAGGAACAGATTAAAATAGAAATTTCTCTGAGACACTGGTGGATGAACGCCTGAAGAAACTCACAGAACCTGTTCCGGGACTTGGTGACCATTGTTTGTGTCCATGTTCAATTGAGATAAAATTGAATATTTAACTTTTCTTCCAAATTTGGCTTCAATTTGATACTCAATTGTAGGAAAATACCCTTACAGATACTGGGGAAAGCATAGTTGATACAGATTACAGACTCAGGGTAAGCACAGGAGAATTAAAAGCACAGTTAATGAAAACCACACCCACCATGGCTGTGCAAGGAGAGTCGTAGTGTGAGAATTGTCAGGGATATACACACAACATTCGGTATGCAGTAAGGTACAGGGACGATTCTCCAACGTAGCCCATTTTTGGTGGCCTCTGGCAATTCCACGCATAGCCAACATTGACTGCAGTTGGCTTCTGTTGCAGTGGCGGCTATGCAGATGATGAATTTATTCTTGGCATCAGACACAGAGACACAGGTACTGACCATTAGTAAACAGGTTATTCTCTGTAATAACCAAAACAGAGGGGAACATAATATTGTTTTTCATCTTTAGGAAACTGTACTATGCCTTCAGTTTCTTCTCCCATAGCTACAAGTTCACCAGCCATAGGAGTAGGATGTGATGGACGCTGTACTCATATTTTGGCTCCAGGATTTAAGCTACGTGTACCAGTGCGTCTGAATCTCCCAGTTCTGTATGTAGCCTCTGTTGGGGCAGAGACATCCTCAGGGGTTAATTGTTGACAAGGTACCACTAAAAATTGAGGAACCCACATCTGCAGTTTTACAGCAAAAGATTCTCGAGTGATATTGTATAAAATGATCTTTAACTCTCCCCTGTAACCACTCTGAATTATACCACCATACATTATGCCGTTCATTGCAAGACTTGAATGTGTTTTAATCCATTCATCCGCATTCAAATTTGCAAGTATGGTGGAAATTTTGGCCTGTTGATCTGTCTGCTGATTAAATAGTCTGTCGAGAAAGCAGAGACACATGAGCATCAACATGAAAAACAGTGATAATGATAGTGTGCACCAGGATTCAGGTATCTTCCCAGGAGTGTTTTCCCTCTTTATGCCTAATTAACCATTTGTAAAGATAAAATAGAGAATGAAGGTGGTGTCGGTGAGATTGGACATCAAAAGACACAAAAGGAATGTGACATGGTGACCTGAGAAAGGAATAGAGAGAGAAATTAAAATAGACAAAAAGGGGAATCAGCAAGGAGATGGAGGAGGCAGAATAGAAGAGGGGACTCAACAAACAGGAGCAGTTGGTGCAACAGAGGGTGCATCGCATACTTGTACGACGCTTCTTTCATTTTCTAGTTACTTTTCCTTTTAAATTTGTGTCAGATTTAGTTAAGGTGTCAACGTTTTTTTAAATCTTTTTATATACTGAAAATATTCTTTGCTGTTTAGTAAATAACTTTCAGTATTTCAATTTGCTCTTGATAAGAGTATTAATTTTTAAATCAACAGACAACATTCAGTAAAACTAGTTAGTCTAATATGCAGCAGCTTCTTCTCTTCCACATGTGATTTGGGAAATTAATGCACTGTGAGACGAAATTTCCAAGTCTATGATGTCTTTAAGTTCCCTTTGCTCTTTTTTTTTTTTTAGCAGATATTGAAGAATGGGCTGGCTGGGCATGAAACTTTCTTCCACCAAGACCATCTTTTCATGATAAATACATTGTCCTGAGTTATTTTTATAGCTAATCCTCTTTCTTGTTTCCAATTGTCAATTATTACATATTTTCAACTTTATAATTTTGGAAGTTCGATGTGATTTCTCAAAAAAAAAGAAAGAAAAAAAGAAAATGCTTGAGTTTAATGTGATTAGAATAACAGAGAAGTTTCTCCTGGTCAAGAGTATAAAATTTGGTCTGAGACCTTTAGCCAGTGCTGGTGACTCTCTGCTGGCCTGTCCTCATCCTACCCCTCCCTTCCCAAACATACACTTACACAGTCAAAAGGCAGCTAAGGAGAGGAGAGCACAGACTTTAAACTCTGTATGTGTATATATTTTAAGATAGAACCTTGCTCTGTTGCCCAGGATGGAGTGTAGTGGCACTATCTCGGCTCACTGTAGGCTCCACCTCTGAGTTCAGGCGATTCTCGTGCCTCAGTCTCCCAAGTAGCTGGGATTACAGGTGCCTACCACTATGCCCAACAAATTTGTGTGTTTTTAGTAGAGTCAGGGTTTTGCCATGTTCCCCAGGTTGGTATCATACTCTTAGCCTCAAGCGAGCCACTGGCCTTGGCCTCCCAAAGTGCTGGAATTACAGGCATGAGCCACAATACCCGGCCTGTCTTTATATGATTTCTTTGGCTGTAAAGAGTATCAGTGGTGTCTGTACCTTTCTCAGTGGCTTAGGGTATCGTTTTTAGCAGAGGCTGTGGTAAAGTTTTGCTGGGAATAGGGGCACCAGAGGTTTAGTCATTGGATCCCAGTGATGGCAGTGGTGAGCTTACCATGCCTGCTTTTGGGCCTCAAGGCAGTTATGCTGGCAGCAGTGTTAACAGGTCCAGGAAGACTAATTATTTGGCCTTCATGTGATTTGCTCAGGTGTCAGCAGTGAGCAAGGTGGGTGGGCAGCTTCTTGAGCCCCTGGACAGTGGTTATGGCATGGATGATGGCAGTAGCAACGACAAGAAAAACCTTTGACTCCCAAGCGTTCCATGCTGGTGTTGGTGTTTGCTGTGATGGGCTGGGAAGGCCAGTTTCTAGGAACACAGGTGGTGTATATATGTGGGTATCAGCTGCGTTAGTAGCTCCAGGTTCAGTGAGTCCATCCTCAGGTCTCAGAGAAGAGTGCTCAGGTGCCAATCTTGTTAGACTTCACTGGACTGAAGTCCATATTTTAAGCACTATCTGGCTCCACACACTCATTGGCCGTTCTTATCATCACTCTGAGCCCATTAACCCCGCAGCAGAAAAACATCAGGAAAGTTTTTAATATTTCTTCTTTGGGGCACAGTATGCAAGGAAAGGAATTGTATTAAGAGATGAAGTAAGTACTCTTATTAGAAAAAGGAACACTTTGGGGCCAGAAATGGACCAGTGTCCAAGGCATGCAGAAAGCAGGAAATAATTACCGGGTCATGGGATGGAACTATGGAGAGTGACTAAAGGTTCAAGATCATAAACCAGTCTTTAGTTGCTCCTAATTTAATTTAATGCAATCCTCACTCTTTGTCATCATTTGGTTTTAATGTATAAAGCTATGGGGTCTGCTTATTGTATGTTTTGTAGTATAATTTGGAAATTAATCTATCAGCTCTTTTTTCTCAGCCCAGTTGGTGTCTTGTCAACTCCTCTGCACTAATTGCTTCTTGTTTTCTCACAGTCCAGCCCTATGTTCTCATGAGCTGTGACCCTGGGGTATCCAGGCTCCGGTTTGCCTGCTGTGGAAAAAGTGCAGCTTTCTAAGCTGGTCACATATCTCTACATTAAATGTACATTGTCTTTTTAAAGCAATGTTCAGACATTCATATATTCTTTCTTCCTGAGGTTTAAGCACCACAAGCAGCAGTCATATAATGGAGAGATTCTCAACAACAGAGTGAGTCTCTGCCATAATTGGATTTATTATACGTTAGAAACAGCAGTTACATACTAAATGTTTTACAAAGTGTTTTTTATAATTTTTATTTCCTTAAATATTGCAAATAGAAAATTTAGAGGTCCAACATTTATTTAAAATTTGGCTCTTGTAATTTGCAGTGGAAAGCTTATATGAGTATCTACCTCTAAAACAATTAATTAAAAATGCTCTGGGGTTAACTGGGCACCAAAGTATAAGAAAATTTTAATTAAGTGAAAAAGTCTAAGTAATGACCAACTAAGGAAATAAAAAGGAAATTATACTTTCAACCCCCTTTCCCCCAGTTGCTCTATGCTCTATTTTTTTTCTATTGCCAAGTTGTACAATTTTATTTTTGTCCTTGATAATTGTACTTTATTTTAACGTGACTAGATTATATTTTATTTTATTTTAATTTATTTTATTTTGTTTTATTTTATTTTAATGTGACTAGATTTTGCCTCACTCCAGGCTGGAGTACGGTAGCATGATTATAGTTCACTGTAACCTCAACTTCCTGAGTTCAAGTAATCCTCCTGCCTCAGCCTTCTAAGTAGTTGAGACCACAGTTACATGCTATAATGTCAAAATAATTTTTAAAACATTTTCAGTGACAAGGTCTTGCTTAGGCTTGTCTCAAACTTCTGGCCTTAATTGATCCTCTGGCCTCAGCATCCCTAGCAGCTGAAATTTCAAGTGTGAGCCACTGAGCCCAGCTCTTTATTTTTATAAATATTTATCTCTTTAGTTTTTTCTGAAGCATTTTCAACACCTTCACCTGAACTTTCAGGCTTTCAACTCACAGTTGATTTTATCCATTTTGCTATTCATCCTATTTATTCTATTGCTTATATACTTTTGTAACATATTTAATATTTTGAGTTTTAAATTCTTGATACTTATATGTATGTATTTTTAGTTGTCTCTTTTGCAAGGCTGCGATTCTCTCTAGAGAAGAGAATGGGCTCTATGCTTTCTTGAGAAAAGCATTTTATAACATGGGAGTAAAACAGACCCTGTGGAAAATAAAATAAAAGGCATTTTAATCATGATTTTTTATAAATTGCTATTTGGGAGACACAAATTTAGCAAGAAGCTATATCATGTTCCATTCAGATGAGGTTAGGGAGGGACTTATAAAGTTTTACTGCAAGTTTACACAAGTGAAAGATTTTAGCACAGTCTATGATGGACAATGTTTGATTGCCAGCTTAGACTGTATCTAGGCAATCATCAGCTTAATTCAGCACAGCTTTCTCTTCAGGAGGTTTGTGATCAGGCTCAGTATAAACAATCCAAGTCAAATGCAGTTGCCTTTTTAGGACATCTGTAATTTTCCCAGTTCGAACAGGTAAAATTCCACCTGGGTGTGTATGAGTATTAATTCAACTCCTCATGTCCTCCTAGTTGTCTTTAGAGACCTCTCAAATAACTATCTCCATTTTGGATTTCTTTTAATTAGAAATAAAGAGCGCAAGGATTATCACTGGTTGGGAATATAGAAAAATAGTGCCCACCTGTGATTCATCGGACCCCAGTCAGAGAGAAAAGGCCAAGATATGCCTGACAGAAAGGCTTGAGGACCTTTAGGTAATTTATTCCTCAAAAAGAATTGGTTCACACCTGTAATTCCAGCACTTTGGAAGGCCAAGGCGGGCAGATTATTGGAGGTCAGGAGTTCAAGACCAGCCTGACAAACATAGTGAAACTAAAAATACAAAATTTACTAAACATACTAAACGTACAAAAATTAGCTGGACATGAAGCTGGGTGCCTGTAATCTCAGCTACACAGAAGCCTGAGGCAGCAGAATCTCTTGAACCCAGGAGGGGGAGATCGCAGTAAGCCAAGATTGTACCAATGTACTCAAGCCTGGGTGACACAGCAAGACTCTGTCTCAGAAAGAAAAAATTGGATAAAGAATTGCCCTAATGCTGGGAATTTTACCTCATAGGTAGTAAAAATATTTACAGAATAAGGCCCAGGTGTAGCCATAAAGTGGCATTACAATTCTTTCATTCTAGATAAGAAACTAACTTAAAAAAAGAATAGAAATTCTAAGGTAAGACACAAAACTCTGGGAGGATTTACATCTAAGGTAAAGGCTCAATCACAGGACACCAGAAGAAGATTGAGAATGCAGCTTCCTTTCTGCCCTGCATCCATTGTCAATAGACTTTCCCTGGCCTTCTCCTTTTGACTTTGTTCATTTTATTTTATAATGTTTTTTTCCACATAGACCTGATGCAACTCCAGAGTTGGAAGAAAAAACAACAATGTCCTAATAGTTGCTTAGAGGAAACCTCAGCAAGTGAAGCAGAAGTTGATTTATTTTTTGTAAAATCATAGAAAGGTATTCATCCTCCTGATCTCTGCAACTGCTTTTTAAAGAAATCTATATTTCCAAGACTGTCGCTATGCTTTGTGAAAATACCTTCAAATTATTAATTCTGCAAGTTCGAATGATCTATCTTCACTCTTTCCTTGGGTTAATATTAAAATGAACATATGCTCTGAGAAAAATGGACCTGGGTGTCTTATCCGGCAGCCAGAAACTATGACTGCTTTTCTCTTCTTCCTCATACATTATGCTGCTGACTCTTTAGGATTTCATAATTCAAGGAGAAATGTTAGAGTCTGTATCTCATTTAAGCTTACACAAGTGAAATAAAAAGAACCACAACCACAACTCCGATTTTGTAGTAGAATGAGATTTTCATATAATATTCGACTCTAGCATTTACTATTTACGAAAAATAAATATTTCCCCTCCTCTCTGGATAAACACATTCTGGGGAAGAGCTCTCAGGGAGATGGAGAAGAGCTGTCTCTTCTTCTTCTGATTTTCAGTTGTTCCAGCAAATGTCTCACAATATTCTTTACATTGAAGCTGCAGGAAATGAACCAAAACACCAAGTGCCTTAGTTGGGCCCTGCTGCTGAGGAAGAGGCTGTGTTTGAGCTGGTCTCAGTTTGCCCTGTCACTGACATAGGACTCTGTACTGGGGCCCGGCTACTAGATGGAAGGGCTAAATTATGTTGGGACTTCCCTCAGAATTATGGGTCACCCTCCTCCCTCATCTGCATTCTGAGCTCCAGTCACTGTGTAGAGCACTCCGTTCATTGACAGTTCCCATGTATCCCTGATATGTGAGTCATCAGCACGGCTGCACTTCACAGAGGACAAAATGAAATCGAGGGGAGGAGAGGCAACTCTCGCCACCTGCAGGACTGGTCAGTGGTGGAGCCGGTATCCCAGAGTCAGCTTTTAGGATCACTTCACTCACATTAAGCCCAAAACTTCACTGAGCCTTTTAAAATAAAGGGATACTGATTGTCCCACCTCACAGCCCTCGGGTAAAGCTAGATCAGGCTCAATGTGGAGGGCACTGAGCACAGCACAAGTTGCATGTGAGTGGGGACTGTCATTGTTTCCTGGGGCCCTCAGGTTTGGAGGTTTCCTGCCATGTAGTGACAGCTGGCTTAGGGGGCATTAGGGGAGGGGCTTCCCCACAGTTTGTTGCAACAGCCACCTGGCTCAACCAGGAATGTTCCAAAGTCATCCAGATAATTTCCCAGATGACCACTCAGTCATGTGGTGTCCTACTACCCATGGGATACAGCCTAAACTTTTTATCATAGGAGGAATAATTTCTAGTGTCTGACAGCACAGTAGGATAACTACAGTTAGCACTAATTTTTAATATATTTTAAAATAGATAGAAGAGATGGCTTTAAATTCTCCCAACACAAAGGAAATTTTTCAAACACAAAGAAAATAATATCCATGTTTGAGGTGATGGATATTCTAATTACCCTGATTTGATCACTGTACATTGCATGCATGTATCAAAATATCACTCATGCACCACAAATATATACTATTATTATGTATCAACAAAGGGAAAATTGCTAAAAGTGGCTCCCAACTAAAAAAAAAAAGTCAATTTCTAAGTCACAGAAAAAGATGCTCACTTTAAATTGTAAGTTCTGTGACAGAATGTAAAGGTTTGCATAGTCACTTTTACAGTCCCAGACTATCATGCATAGAACTGCCTGGCCCCGTGTGTATGTACACACAGAGATACAACCATGCTTCTCTAGTGGGGCATTTTTTTCTCCCTGAAACATTTGCCAATGTTTGGAAACCTGTCTTGCTGTCTGGTTATTTTAGTAAATTGATTATGACTGTAATTAGGCCCAATTTAGTGACTGTAATTAGGCCCACTTGCTGTCTGCACATAGATGATCAGGGGCAAGTAGTCGAAGATATAGTTAAAGACATGATGAAACTGGCACATGTGCCAGTACAAGTGTGGCACCGATTTGACACTGAGGCCATGTTTGAAAATGGTTCCCGGCACTAGAAGGATTTAAAACTCTTATAATGGAAACTATAGTAGTAATAGGAACCTGCTTACTGATCTCTTGCTTACTAGCTGTACTCATTCAAGTGGTAAAAGTTTTCATGGCAACTCTAGTTCACCAGAACGCTTCAGCACGAGTGTACTACATGAATCACTATCAATCTGTGATAGAGGAAGACATAGGTAGTGAGGAAGAAGGTGAGAACTCCCACTAATAAAATGAGTGAGAGTCTCAAAGGGGGAAAATAAGGGAGGAGACCAACCCTCATATTGTCTTATACCCAATTTCTGCCTCCAAAGAAAGAAGAAGTAAAAACTAGAAGGCAGAAATGAAATCCACAAGCAGACAGCCCAGCGCCACACCCTGGGCCTGGTAGTTAAAGGTCAACCCCTGACCTAATCGGTTATTTGCATAAAAAATGCACTGTGAAGATCCCTGTCCTGTTCAGTACCTTTCTAATTACCAGTGTATGCAGCCCCCAGTCACATACCCACTGCTTGCTCAATAGATCGTGACCCTCTCATGCGGACCCCCTTAGAGTTGTGAGCCCTTAAAAGGGACAGGAATTGCTCACTCGGAGGGTTCAGCTCTTGGGAAAGAAGTCTTGCTGAAGCTCCCAGGTGAATAAACACCTTCTTTCTTTAACTCAGTGTCCAAGGGGTTTTGTCTGCCGCTCTTCCTGTTACATTGGGAGAGGCCAATGTGGGCAGCGACATGGGGAGGCACAGATCCCTTAGTGGTGGCTGTGTGCTCTGAGGCGAATGTGGGGAAAATCAGACCTAAGATGCTTCATATGGCTGATAGTACCAGCTTTAGAGCTGCAGCAGTCTGCGACAGGGGAAGGCATGGTCCTGGCTAAGCAGCATCTGAAACTCCCGCAATAGGACCAGGTCTGGTGGACTCAAGAGTGAAAGTCAGAGTGAAAGTGAACTGCAAGAGAGGAAATGAGAGTGAAAACATCAAAAGTGGCTCCTTTGAAAAGCATAATAAAGAATTTTAAAAAAAGAGTTAGAGGTGATTATAGGATGAAACTGAGTGTTCAAAAGTTAAGGACATACTGTGAATTAGAATAGCCCTGTTTTAGTGTCAGATGGCTTGCCAAAGGCACTATAGAAAAATTGGCCGTGTGTTTTAAGGTGGTGACTAGGGTCAGAGAACAGCCAGGACATTCAGACCTAGTCTTTATATTGACTCATGGCTAAATGAATGCAGCCCTGCCTAGCAGTTTACTGTAGAATGCTCGCAGCTCACGGCAAGAGAAAATCAGCTGCTCTGGCAGCTACAGAGTTAAAAGGAGACACAGAGGCTTGTAGCACCTCCCAGCCAAAAGTGAAAGTAAAATCAGCTGCCCCAGCAGCTGAAGACAAATGAAAAAATCTCAGAAAAGGCAGAAAAACCGGTTTTGTCACAACCACAGAAAAGAATAGAGACCGCTCCTCCTTACATTCCAATCTACCCCCTTTACCAAGGTAACTGTCCCTAAGGAGTTAAGTTCAAATGGATACATGCTGCCAGTCTCACCCGAGAAGGTGAAATGAGAGCGAAAATCAGGCAGGCCGTCTCAGGTCTGGTCGCGCATAAGATATGCTCATGCCTCTTAAGAGGACAGGAGGACCCCCACTAAGACCCAGATGATGCAGTCCAGATTCAGCACCTGCAAAGGTGCCGAGAAGCCCATCTGCAAAGGCTAAAGGATGGTAAAAGAAAAAGGCAATCAATATTTTAAAAAATCTCAGACATGCTTCAGGGTGCAGATAAAAGCACAGCAAGTTCTATGAAAGACTTTGTGAGGCATTTTTATTGTACACTCCGTTTAACCCTGAGGCTACTCAAAAATCAGTGCAGGGTGAATCCAGCACTTGTAAGGCAGACCCAAGGAGATATCAGGCATAAATTGCAGAAGTTACAAGCTCCGTAGGCGTGAATGCTACTCAGCTTATTAAAGTGACAACCAAGGTGTTAATTAACCGAGATGAGGAGGCAAAGGAAAAGGCTGATCACAGGCTTAAGAAAGGCTAACTTACTAGCAGCAGCCCTTCCGGGAAGAGGAGCTGGCTTTACAAGGAGGCATGGACGCGGGCGTGAACGTAGTCATGAAAAAGGCTAGTCTGGACAGGAGTGTGAAGGCCAGCCGAGGCTAGAGAGAGATTAATGTGCATGGTGCAAAAGGAAAGACACTGGAAGCATAAATGTCAAAGAAATAATGAAAATGATCAGGGCAATAGTAAAAGAAACAAAAAACAAACAAAAAAAACCCAAAAAAACAGAACCAAAAAATCACACACACACACCAGCCAAGGGCTACTACACGCAGAAGAAACCCAAGAACCACTGCACCTGCTGTAGAAGGCAGAATAAAAAGTGTCAGAAAAAAGCTCAAATCTCCTCTAAAAGTGTCAATATTTAAGCTTTTATATAAGCCAAGAGGAAAGATGGCTTAGTCCTGAAAAAATGCAGGCTGTTTGTGCACTTTCTACTCCAACCACCCGGTGTCAAGTAAGAGAGTTTCTAAGAGCAGCAAGGTTCTGCCGCGTTTACAACCCAAATTTCTTGCTCATGGTCAAGCCATCATACCAAGCCACTAAGAGGAGGAAAAAAGGAGCCCCTCCTCTAGGAAGCCAAAGACGAGAAGGATTTTAAAGAAATCAAAGAAGCCTTGACTCAGGCCCCAGCTTTAGGACTGCCAGATCTAACCAATCAAGCTTTTCTTCTTGTATGTGCACAAGTGAAAGGGAGGCCATAGGGGTTCTGACTCAAGCCATAAGGTCATGGCATCGCCTGGTGGCATATTTATCCAGGCAATTAGATTCTGTTGCACTTGGATGGCCTCCTTGTCTTAAAGCACTAGCAGCCACTGCCGTACTGGTGCAGGAAGCTAGTAAACTAACTTTAGAGACTGTGAATACCCTAAATCCGGCTACCTCACTCTCATCGAGTCAGTGCCAGGAGGACCGTTTCATTGTGGTGTGGACGTGGTAGATGAAGTGTTCTCAAGCCAGAGAGATTTGACAGATCAGTCCCTCAGGGACCCAAACATTGAATATTCTACTGATGGAAGCAGTTTCATACTAAAAGGAGCCCGCCAAGCTGCGTATGCAGTGGTGACTTTAGACTCAACAGTAGAGGTGCAGTCTTCATCTACAGAAACTTCTGATTAGAAAGCAGAACTAAGAGCTCTGACAAGAGTTCTCTGGCTAGCAAAAGACCAAAAGACCAATATTTATACAGGTTCCAAATATGCTTCTGCCACTTTGCATGTTCATAAGGTTATTTACAAAGAAAAAAAGAAGACTTTTAACTGCTGGAAACAAAGAAATAAAGTACAAGGAAGAAATCCTACAGCTCTTAAACGCTGTATGGGCCCCAAAAGTGACGGTAGTGAAGTCCTGCAAGAGGCAGCAAAAAGCAAGAACACTAAGGGCTAAAAAAGATACGAAGGCAAAGAGGCAAAGAAGGCTGCAATGACAACTCCACCTAAAGAAGACGCCTTAGCTATGCCTCTCCTCCCGGAGATTCCCCTCCTGGAGATCCCAATCTTCACTCCAAATAACAGAGCTTGGCTTCCCCAGGAAAATAAGAACTACATTGAAAGAGGATAATACAAATTCTTCAATGGGAGGCTAGCCATACCTGAAATGGTGACCCCCAGATTTGTAAAACAATTCCACCACCGAACTCAGATTAAAAAAAAAAATAAAGACATTATTAAGGCATCATTTTTATCTGCCATGGCTCATTGCTATTACTCGGGCCATTTGTAAACTGTGTTTAACTTACACTCAGAACAATCCACGACAAGATCCTACTCGGCCCATGGGAGTTCAGGAAAAAGGAGCCATGCCCTGTGAAAAACTGCTAATGGACTTCACTGAATGACCCTGAGACGGGGGCTATCAGTACATATTGGTGTTCATTTGCACCTTTTCAGGATAGCTCAAGGCCTTTCCCACCAGGACAGAGAGGGCACTAGACGTGACCAAGGCGTTAAGAGACATTGTTCCCAGATTTGGGCTGCCTCTAACTCTAAGATCAGAGAATGGACCAACATTTGTGGCTAAAATAGTTCAGGACTTAACTCGACTATTAAAAATAAAATGGAAATAACATACAGCCTACAGGTAGCAGATCTCAGGTAAAGTGGAGAGCATAAACTGGACACTCAAGCAGCTGTTGAAGAAATTTTGTCGAAAAACTCATCTGAAGTAATATCAGGTCTTGCCCATGGTCCTCTTATGAGTCAGGTGCACCCCCACCAAAAAACTGAGTATTCGCCCTCTGAGATTTTGTTCAGCTGCCCACCCCCCATAAAAATCAGATTCAGGGTAATCTCTGTAAATTGGGAAAACTAACTTTAAGAAGGCAAATGCAGGCTTTAAGTATGGCTATACTAAAATGCATGGTTAAGTATGTAAAAAAATGCCTATAAGTCTAACAGACCCAGTACACCCTTTCAAACCTAGGGACTTCGTTTAGGTAAAAAATGGAATTCAACCACTCTAGGACCCATATACGATAGGCGCCATATTGTAATCATGTCTACTCCCACTGCTGTTAAAGTTGCAGGTGCCACACCTTGGATTCACCATAGCCATCTAAAACCAGTGACAGTAGCGAGTCCTGATGACAACCTGTGGATTAGCCAACAAGACCCAGATTGCCCCACTCGAATAGCCCTATGGCAAATCTCAGCCACCGGTAAAAAGGACAACCGCCCTGCTCTGACCACACTGGAGGCTGGTCAGTCTAAGCATGGCTGAAGCTTAAGGATTCTTCAAACTCTGCTCTAGTCACATCCCGGAAGCTGACTAGTGTACACACAGCCGAAGCTAAGAGGACCATGTCCAGATAAGTAAATGTGAATACAATTTATAACCATAGTTACAATTCTGTCAATACTGATTGTTCCATTGTTATGTTATTACTGCAAATGCTGCAAATGTCTATGCCCAGAGGAAAGTTTTTGTGCCCATGTGTAGTGTAAGCATGTTTCTATTACATACAACAATGTTGTTACCATTTATGCTTATACTGAAAGGGGATAAATCTCTTGAAGGATGTCCACGCTGTGTACACATTACCTGGATAAAAAATACCACAGTTAAAACTCTACTGTACCATACCTACTATGAATGTACAGGAAGCAAATTAGGAATATGCACATACAACCAGACCACCTATTCAGTCTGTGACTGAGGAAATAATCAGCTATATGTATGTTATGAGCCTGGGCTCTTACCCTATTAATTCTATTTTGAGGTACATATTAAATCAGAGGGAGAAACAGAAGGAAAGCTTATAGCTCAAACCAAAGAAATCCCACCCTTCTAAAAAGGGCCTATTTCTTCTTTGATGACTGCCATGCCACGTATGTTCATAATCCTAAAAACCAGATTGTAAGACAAGGACATGCGATCCTTTAAATTTTACTATCTTAAAGCCAGAGCTACCTTTTTGGTCTACAGGACAGACAGCACTATTACGAGTTGATAGACAAGGAGCAGGTCTTGGAGTTCCACTACTAATTGTCAAAAATACTATAAGGACTCAAATGCATCCAACCCCTCAATACCAAGTCATTCTGTAAGCATTTTGATCAGCCAGTGCCCGAGGTTCCCCCATCAACCAAAAACTTATTTGCTCAACTAGGTGAAGACACAGATGGCAGCTTAAAAATTTCTTCATGCTATGTATGTAGAGAAACTAATATGGAGAATGAGTGGCAATGGGAGGCAAAGGAATTAATGCCACAAGATAACTTCACTCTGCTTAACCCTGCCAGTGAACCAACAGCCTCAGCCAGTGTTTGATTGTTAGAAATCTCCATAACTGGAAAGTACTGTATCACTCGATGGGGAAAGGCTTTCACAGAGGCAGTAGGAAAAACAACCTGCCTAGGGCAACAGTATTATTACGAGACTAAAAACAAAACTCTATGAAGAAATGCCCAGAATGACTCCTACTTACCAGATCCAAACACTTTCTCTGGATTCCTTACTCTAAGCTGCACTTGGCATCAGGTAGATGATTCAAATGCTTGAAAGGCACCCTCTGGCCTATATTGGATCTGTGGAGCATGGGCATATTGGCAACTGCCAGCAAAATGGGCAGGGGCATGTCTGTTAAAAGCAATCAAGCCATCCTTCTTTCTAATTCCTCTAAAGCAAGGGAAATTCTTAGAATATCCAGTTTATAATAAAAATAAAAGAAGAACTAGAAAAAGCATAATCACAAAAGTAACAAAAATATCAAAAAAGATGTGGACACAGGAGACTAAAAAGGTAATAAATGACCTCCTGAAAGAATCATGACATGCTATGGGCCAGCTACCTAGGTGCAAGACAGGTCATGAGGGTACTGCACCATAATCTGTATCCTCAGCCGCATCATGAAGTTGCAGGCAGTCCTTCAAATCATAACCAATGAAATATCGAGGGCACTAGATTTATTGGCAATACAAGCAACACAAAAAGGAAATGCTATATATCAAAATAGGCTGGCTTTAAATTATCTCTTATCCTCAGAAGGAGGAATATGTAGAAAATTTAATTTAACCAACTGTTGCCTAGAAATCAATAGCCAAGAAATCAATATTACTGGTCATAAAAATTACAGCTAGAATGCACAAGTTGGCCCAGGTTCCACTTCAGACTTGATCCAGGTAGTCCCCGGATTCCTTGTTTGGAGGATGGTTCTCAGCATTTGAAAAATTCTAAACCCTCATTAGTAGGTTCTTGCTTATTCTTTGCATCTGCCTTATCCTCCCTTGCCTTTTGTCTCTGTTTATTAGGAGTATTCAGTCAACTATGGAGGCAATGGTAGCCCAAAACACTACTGTACAGTCTGTACAGTTGATGCATTAACCAGATATCAGCCACCGCCAGAAGAAGAAAAAGCTCAGCTCCATGAAGACTTGGCAAATAATGGTGCTTTCTATTAACACCTCTGTTATAAAAAGCACCAATGGGGAGAATGGAACAGGAATTATAAGAGATTAAAGAGTGTGTAAGCAGAAACTCACTTGTGTGTAAGAAAACCCAACTTCTGTTGAGAAAGAGTAAGAGCTGGAGTCCTTTAAAAACTAACTGCCTGTTTTTCTGTGGCTAGTGATCCTTATCTCTCCTCCTTTCCCAGGGATTGTGAAGACCCTGTTTCCCAAGCTGTGAAGCTGCAAGGTCACTAGACAGATAAATTCAAGTCACAAAACAGGTTTTTCCTTGAAAAGTAAGAAATAATGTAATGCATGTCTCAATTGAATAACTGTCTTTGTTTCTTGCTTCTGTAGTATGATTCTCCCTGCACAAATCTCTCCCCACCCATGAAATGCTTAAAAGGTAACTTAACTCTTTGTTCAGGACTCATTCTTTGGATGTTAATCCACTGGACCAGTGCACCTAAATAATTAATAAATACCCTCCTGAACCCCATCGGCCTCTCTGATTTCTTAAAATTCCACTACATACAGACTTCTCTACTATTGACCCCCACATTCTTTTCTTCCACACAGGAAGTCCACATATAAAATCGTGTGTGAAACTATTCTATTTGAGGTGTATTTCTGTGCCCTAGGATCCAGATAATCCCTTACATTTTAAATTCTTGCTTTTTTGTGGCTCACAGTATGATGTTATCAAAAATTAGGCAAATATTCTGATACTTTCTTAATTTTACAAGGGGGAGAATTGTCCTTAGATAATTACATTCTGGAAAGGCCATAATGAGCAACTCTGGACCTGATTGATTGTCATTTTTGGGTCCACTGCAGGGCTGCATACTAAGGGACAGTGGTCATTCTGAGTTCATAGAAAAAACCTGACATGAGAGGGGACATTTTGCTAGACATGCCACCTGGTGCACAGAGCTGAAAAATGAGACCTGCTGGTGACGTGCTTATCAAGCTTAGGGTCTTGAGGGCTTTTTAAATTCAGTGCTTTAAAAGCTGGCCTCACATCCTGAGTTCAGAAAAACCAAAATTTTTTGTTTTCTATAGACTTTTTGGTTGAAAATCCCTTTTCCATGGACTTTTAAACTAGTTATTTACAGCACAAGCCCCATGTCTAGTAACAAAGGTGTCAGCCATCTTCAAAATGTGTTTTTATTAATACTTTATTTTTAAGCTTTATTAACTAAAGATATATTTATTTATAGTCACTTTGAGTCTCCAGGATAAATATTAGTCTTAAATTGTTATTTCTCATAAAGTCTTGGAGGTTGCTAAGTTCTACTGTTTTGCACGTAAAGAATCAAGAAACTCTTTAGTACAATATTAGAAAATACTTGTATTTACTTAGATTTTATAGTACTATTTTTATTTTTCTTTTTATTTCTTAGATATAGGTACTCAAATTTCTACAAACTGACAACATAATATGCTTACTTGAAAATATTACCAGAATAATTGAAGTTGATAATTAAAAATGAAAGATAAAAAATGTGAGAATTGCTGAAGCCTTGTGGTGGGTATGTATGATAAATGTTAGTTTATAATTCTCCCTATGTTTGCTAAGATTTTTTATTTTCATAATATCTTTTAAATATATAATTTAAACATCTTCTCACATGTTTTATCAATAAATTTAGGAGTTCAATATTGAATTTGAGTGTTGAAATTGGTTACAAATGAGGGACAAAAGAGCAGCTTTCTAATTGGCCATACACTAAAAGTACCAGCAACTGTGGACAGGGGTGCCACTAACACACTTTATTTAACATTTTTGCTGTGAGTCATTTTTGATAAGGAATATTTTAACCTTATGATGACATCATAACAAGTTTCTAATAATCAGTGACTCAGAGTGGTCTTCAATAGTGTACTATTATTTAATTTACATTTCTGGCCTGGTAAATCTAAGCAGGTAATTTATGTCTATTAATACATTTTACAATTGTAATTTTTTTCTTATAACTATTTGCCATGAAGATTTTAATGTTATAACTATATCTTTGTCTTTTCCTCTTTATTTAACATGCCTTGAGATGAACAATAAATGGGTTTGGTTTTACAGTCTGTGACTTAGTTCTCCAAAAGTCAACAGTTTCATTTGGAAACATTTTAGAGGGATATAATCTTATAACAAAACCATCACATGTTTTAAGTGTACAATTCCAAGTTCTTAAAGTGTATTTACAGACACCCATAACCACAATCTAATTTTGAAATCACCTTATCACTATGGAAAAAGAAATTAATCTCTTTTGTACTTACTGATTTCATTACCCTGGTCATAGGCAATCATTAGCCTGTTTTTATATATAAGCCTTTTATTAAAAGTTATTTTAAGTGAAATCATAAATTATCTGCCCTTTTGCATTTGGTTTATTTTACTTACTTTAGTGATTTTGAGGTTTTTTCCTGACATAGCAGGTATTATTACTTCATTTTCTTTGTTTGGCACATAGTATTTTATTGTATGGACACACCACACGTTATTTTTTCTGTTATTATTTGATGGATATTTTGGTTTTATCCCCTTTGGGCTATTACAAATACTGCTCCTTTGATCATTTACATCTGATTCTTTGTGTAGTCATAGGTTTTCATTTCTTTTGAGTACGTAACAGAGTAAAATGTCTCAGTCATATGGTGATACTATTTATAGCATTTTGAATAATTGCCAAATTGTTCTTTAAATCGGTTGTTTTTTACACTCCCACATACAATGTGTGAGGCTTTCATATTTTTGATATCTTTGGCAACCTTTTTTATTGCCTTTTACAGGTCTTCTAGTAAGTATGTCATTGAGCTTTTGATTTGCATTTCTCTAAACTAATAATGTCACATATTTTAAATTTAATGACAAATTTTGCTTCTTATCTGTAGAAATTTTTAATTCAAATTCCTTGCACATTTTTCAAGTAGTCAATTGTCTATTTATTATTGATTTATAAGACTTTGTGTATTTGAGCAAGATGGCTGAATAGACAAACCAAGGTGGAACAGCTGACACCAAGGGACCAGGATGACTGGCACACTCTTAACCGAGGGCAGGTACTGATAGTGATGGAGGAAAGACACAACATCTGAACTTAAGATTCAGAAGCTGGGAACCCTGCACAGGGCTAAAGCACAGTGGAACTGATTTCTGGCCCCCAGTGACTCTGAGAAAAACAGGTGAGTTTAAGTGGCAAGGAGCTACCTGCTTTCCTGACTGGCCTCTGGAATCCCACTGGCAGAGACCCTCTGACCATCATGGAAAATGAGTTGAAAGGAAGAGCTGCTTAGAGAAGTGACAGGGGCAGCACACCAGCCAGTGCACAGCCAAGAGGGTTTATTGTGGGAACATGTGTAGTGAAGCATGTCCAGGGATGCCCACACCAATAAGCTTAACTTGCTCCCATAAGAGACGTTAGCCCTAGGGGAAATTTTGGACAAAAAGTCTGCAGGGTGGTGGCCCATCAGATGGGGCTGTTTTGACCTGAGCTTGCGTTGGTGTGCTGGCCTCTCCTGCGACCCCAATTCGGCCCTGCATGCTTGCAGTGCAGCCTTGAGTACCCTGGGGGCCTGCATCATAGATCCTGAACTGGCAGATCATGTCTGACTAGTAGACAGCTCCAGTGGGGTGACCCCATCCAGGCATCAGCCTGCCTGCTGCCTCTCCTCACTGCAGCTTCCCCCCAAGGCCCATTGCCACCCCACACATCACTATGCTGGTGTGTGTGTGTGTGTGTGTGTGTGTGCATGGAAGGATCTTGCTTTCCCTGTCCTGTCAGTGCACATGTGCATATGCATTCTGCCCTGGCACTGCTGTTGGTAGGAGTGTACTCCAGGCCCCCTCTCCTGCTATACCACCACTGCAGACAGAATCTTGGGGGAAACAGAGGCCATCTGCCCCACAACACCAGCACCCTGCTCCTTTGTCAACACTGTCATTTGAGTACAACTAAGCACAAAAAACAGCATACTCTCCTCAGCCCTGAGCAGCCACCTTCGCCTGCATGAATACACACAAAACCACTTGACTGAGCCAACCTTATAACACAATTAAACCCTTAAGGTCATCAAGCAGAATAAAAGGAAAAATCCAAAAGTTGACAACTTCAAATATTAAAGAAATATCACCCCAGAAAGATAAGAAAGAACAAGCACAAAACCTCTGACAACTCAAAAAACCTGAGTTCCTCTTTTCCTTCAAATGGTCACAGTACCTCTCCAGTAAGGTTATAAATCAGTCCAAGATAGCTAAAATTACAGAAATCAAATTCAGAATATGAATAGAAATAAAGATCATTAAAATGCAGAAGTAACTTGAAACTCAATTCAAAAACGTTAAGAATCATAATGAAATGATACAGGAGCTGAGAGACAAAAGAGCCAGTATTAAGAGCATAACTAACCTGAGAGAGCTAAAAAAATCACACTAAATTTTTTTATAAGAAATTCACAACTATTAATAGTAGAATAGACAAAGCTAAGGAAGAATCTCAGAGTTTGAAGACTGTTTATGTGAAGTAAGACATACAGACAGAAATAAAAAAGAGTAATAAAAACCCCCAAGCCTCTGAAAAATATAAGATTATGTAAAGAGACCAAAGGTATGACCCACTGGTGTTCATGAAACAGGTGGGGAGAATGGAAGCCATTTGAAAAACATATTTTAGGATATCATTCATGAGAACTTCCCCAACCTGGGGAATGCTGGCTAGAGAGGCCAGCATTCAAATTTAGGAAATGCAGAAAACTCCAGTAAGATACTTCATAATATAATAATCACCAAAACACATAGTTATCAGATTGTTCAAGCATGAAATAAAAGAAAAAATGTCAAATGCAGCTAGAGAGGAAAGGGAGGTCAACCACAAAGGAAAGATTATCAGTGTAAAAGTACGCCTTTTAGCAGAAATCCTACAAGCCAGAAGAGACCAATACCAATATTTAACCTCCTTGAAGAAAATAAATTCCAATCAACAATCTCGTATTTGGCCAAACTAAGCTTCATAAGTAAAGGAGAAATAAAGTTCTTTTTAAACAGGCAAATGCTGAGGAAATTCATTACTACAAGACATGCCTTACAAGAGCTCCTGAAGGAAGAACTAAATATAGGTGAAAAAAACCTTTATTAGCCACTAAAAAAACACACTGAGGTATACAGACCAGTTGCGCACAAACAAGTCTGCATAATAAGCAGCTACCATTATAATGGCAGCATCAAATGCACACATATCAACACTAACTATGAATGTAAATGGGCTGAATGTTCCAATTAAAAGGCAAACAGTGGGAAACTGGATAAAGAACAAAGAACCAATGATATGCTGTCATCAAGACTCATTTCACATGCAATCAGTTTCATAGGCTGAAAATGACGGGATAAAAATCTACCAAGCAAATGGAAAACAGCAGAAAGAATGGGTTGCAACCCTAAGTTTAGACAAACAGACTTTAAAACAACAAAGATTTAAAAAGGCAAAAAGGCATTACAAAATGCTAAAGGGTTAAATTCAACAAGAATATATGTATTCATATTTAAATATATACATTTTAAATATATACACACCCAACACAGGAACACCCAAATTCATAAAGCAAGTTCTTAGAGGTCTTTAAAAAGACTTAGATTCCTACACAATTATAGTGAAAAACTTCAACAACCCATTGACAATATTAGATTATTAAGGCAGAAAATTAACAAGATATTCAAGATCTGAATGCAGCACTGGATCAAATGGATGTAACAGACACTTTCAGAACTCTCCACCAAAAACAACAACATATACGTTCTCATTGCCACATGGCACATACTCTAAAATCAACCACTTAATCGACATAAAACTGTTCTCAGAAATTATAAAAGAATTCAAATTATGACAACCACTCTCCGAGACCAGAGTACAGTAAAATTGGAGGTAAAAGTTGAGAAAACCAATACTCAATACCATATGATTACATAAAAATTAAATAACTCACTCCTGAATGACTTTTGTGTGAATAATGAAATTAAGGCATCAATCAAAAAGTTATTTGAAAGTAATGAGAACAAAGACACAACCTACCAGAATCCCTGAGATGCAACTAAATCAGTGTTGAGAAAAAAACTGATGTTGCTGAACACCCACCACAAAAAGTAACAAAGATCTCAATTTAACCACTCAATATCACAACTAAAACATCTAGAGAATGAAGAGCTATCCAACCCCAAAGCTGGAAGAAGACAGAAATAACCAAAATCAGAGATAAACTGAGATTAGGACACACACAAAGAAACTAAAAGATTAATGAATCCAGGAGTAGGTTTTGTTTTAAATGTGGACTACTAGCTAGACTAATATAGAGGAAAAGAGAGAAGATCCAAACAAAGACAATCAGAAACAACAAAGGGGATATTACCACTGGCTCCTCAGAAATAGAAATAAACATCGGAGAATATGATGAACACCTTTATGCAAAAAAACTACAACACCTAGAACAAATAGATAAATTCCTGGACATGTACACCTTTCCAAGACTGAACCAGGAAGAAATTGAATCCCTGAACAGACCAATAACATGCTCCAAAATTGAATCTGTAATAAATAGACTATCAATTTTAAAAAGCCCAGGAAAAGACGAATTCCCAGCCAAATTCTACTGGATATGCAAAGAAGAATTTGGTATCATTCCTACTGAAACTCCCAAAAATTTGAGGAGGATCATCTTCCTCACTCATCCTATGAGGCCAGCACCCTTCTGATATCAAAACCTGGAAGAAAAGCAAAAGAAAGAAAAATTTCATATCTTTGATGAATATTGATGCAAAAATTCTCCATAAAATACTGGCAAACCAAATCCAGCAGCACACCAAAAAGCCTATCCACCACAATCAAGTAGGCTTTTTCCCTGGGATGCAAGGTTGGTTCAACATATGCAAATCAATAAATGTGATTCATAATACAAACAGAACGAAAGACAAAAACCTCATGATTATTGTAATAGATGCAGAAAGAGCTTTCATTAAAATTCAAAACCACTTTATGTTAAAACTCTCCATATACTAGGTATTGAGGAAACATGCTTTGAAATAATAAAAGTCATCTATGACAAACCCACAGCCAACTTTATACTGAATGGGTGAAACTGGAAGCATTTTTCTTGGAAACTGGCACAAGACAAAGATGCCCTCTCTTACCAGCCCTGTTCAACATAGTATTGAAAATCCTGGCCAGAGCAATCAGACAAGAGAAAAAAATAAAGGCATTCAAATAAGAGGAGAGGAAGTCAAACTACCCATTTGCAGATTGTATTAGTCAGTGTTCTGTGTTTATGGATTGGAAGAATCAATATTAAAATGTCCATGCTACACAAAGCAAGCTACAGATTCAACGCAATTTCTGTAAAAATACCATTGACATTCCTCACACAAATAAATACAACAGCTCTAAAAAATCTTAAATTTATATATAATCACAAAAGACCTAGAATAGCTAAAGCTATCCTGAGCAAAAAGAATAAAACTGGAGGAATCCCATTACATAGCATACATTATTACATTACACAAAATTATACTACCGATGTGTAGTAACCAAAACAGCATAGTACTGGCATAAAAACAGACACACAGGAAAATGGAGCAGAATAGAGAACCCAGAACCAAACCATCCATCTACAGTGAACTCATTTTTTACATAGGCACCAAGAAAATATATTAAGAATAAAAACTCAGTCTCTTCAATAAACAGTGATGGTAAATCTGGATATCCATATGCAGAGGAATAAAACTAGACCTCTATCTTTTGCCATGTGCAAAAACTAAATCAAAATGGATTAAATATTTAAATGTAAAACTGCAAACTATGAAACTTCTGAAAGAAAACATTGGGGAAATTCTAAAAAACCTTGGATTAAGCAAAGATTTCTTGAGTAACACCTCACAAGCACAGGCAACCAAAGCAAAATGGAAAATTGGTATCACACCAAGTTATAAAATTTTGCATGGCACAGAAAAGAATCAACAAAGTCAGAAAACAACCCACAGAATGAAAGAAAATATTTTCAAACTACCTATCTGAAAATGGATTTGTAACCAAAACATAGAAGGCGCTCAAATAACTCTATAGAAAATAAAATCTAATAATCCTATTTTAAAAAATAGGCAAAATATGTAAACAGACATTACTCCAATAAAGACACGCAAATGGCAAATAGGTATATGAAAAGATGATCAACATCATGAATCATCAGAGAAATGCAAATCAAAATTACAATGAGCTATTACCTCACCCCAGTTAAAGTGGGTTTTAGCTAAAAGGCAATAACAAATGCTGACAAGCATGCCGAGAAAAGGGAACCCTCATATGCTGTTGGTGGGAATGTAAGTTGGTGGAACCACTATGGAGAACAGCTTGAAGGTTCATCAGAAAACTAAAAATAGAGCTTCTGTACAATCCAGCAATTTCACTGTTAGGTATATATCCAAAAGAGAGAAAAATCTGTGTATTGAAGTGATAGCTGTACTCCTGTGTTTACTGCAACACTATTCACAATAGCCAAGATTTGGAAGTAACATAGGTGTTTATCGACAGATGAATAAACAAAAAAGTGGTACATATACACAATGTAGTACTATTCAGACATAAAAATGAATGAGATTCTGTCATTTGTAAAAACATGGGTTAAACTGAAGGTCATTTTATTAAGTGAAATAAGCCAGGTATAGAAAGACAAACTTCACACGTTCTCACTTATTTGTTAAAGCTAAAAATTAAAACCAAAGAATTAATGGAGATAAAGAGTAGAATGATGGTCTCCAGAGGCTGAGAGAAGTAGTAGAAGGTTGAGGGCGGGGAGGTGGGAATGGTTAATGGGTATAAAAATATAGTTAGAAAGAATGAATCAGTTCTAGCATTTGACAGCACAAGGTGACTCTAGTTAAGAATAATTTAAGTGTACATTTTAAAATAACAGAAATTGTATAATTTGGTTATTTGAAATCCAATAGTAATACTTCATGTGATGAATACCCCATTGACTCTGATGTAATTATTACACATTGTATGACGGTATCAAAATATTCTATATACTTCATAAAGGTATACACCTACTATGCACCCAGAAAAACCAAAAATAAAAAAATTAGGATATACTTTAAGACAACAAATACTATTACTAGAGATGAAGATAGATTATAATTAGAAGGATAAATTCATGAGGAAAATAAATTAACATATATGAATGTAACAAAAGTTCACAGAAGTACATAAAGCAAAACTGATAGAAATAAAGGCAGAAATAGTTGCAACAATAGTTTCAACAATAAAAATTGCAAGCTTCACTTCCCCACTTACACTATTGGGTAGAAGAACTAGACATAAGAGAAACAAGGAAATAGAAGACATGAATAACATAAACCAAATAAAACTAGAGATATATGGAGAACTCTTCACCCCAAATCAGAATGTATATTCTTCCCAAATGCACATAGAACATTCTCTAGAATGGAGAATATGCTGCATCATAAAAAAAATCAATAAAATTGAAAGATTGAAATAATAAAATGAATGTTTTCTAATCACAAAAGAGAAAATTAGAGACCAAAAAAGCAAGAAATTTGGGAAATGCAAACATGTGTGCATTAAATGACACAATCTTAAATAATTAATGAATAAAAAATGTACAAATAGTGTCAGAGAATATTTTAACATAAATAGACATTTAGACAAAACATAATAAAATTTATGAGACTTAGTGAAAGTTGAGCTCTGAGGGAAACAGCAGAATTACTTTATAAAAAACAAAGAAATCTTAAATTAATAGCTTAACGCTTATGGAAGCATTTAAATAAAAATGAACTACCCAGTTCACCTGGAGCAAACACTATCAGTGGGGTAAAAAGGTAGTCACGCTGACAATCGTAGGAGGAAATACTTGGAAACAAGACACTGAGAATTAGGATAGTGATAGTACTCCTTGGAATCTAGAAAAAAATGGGGATGCTCTAGGCTAGACAGATTCTCAGGAAAAACGCTAAAACACTAAGCTCCCACCTGTTTGTCTTTTAATCTCTGCATGAACAGAAAGTATAGGCACAAGCAGAGTTAGGACTTTATGGCACACATAGAGATTCTAGATGAAAGGATCAGAAGATTCATATTTTGAGAGGGCTAAAATATCTACAGTCTTGCTGTCCTATTAAAGTTTAGTGAAACTATATTGCAGATTCGCATTGCTCACTTCTTCCAGTAATCCAGTGATCTAGTAAAGCTTGATTTTGCCATTTGAATCCTCTGATAAATGAAGTCAGCCTCTAACTTGAGGTACTTTTTGGGATGTTGGAGTTATGGTCACCATGACGTTACTATTGGTTACACTAATTTGTAAGTCAACAATGAGCTTGCTACAGAGCTGTGAAACTGAATTCTGACCCCTGAGGGAGGTCGTTAGCTTGATCTTTCTGTTTTTAGATGGGTCGATTTGAACTCTATGAAAAAGACCACAGGAGGCCACTTGGTAAATAGAAATAACATATTCTAGAAGGAAATTAGACTAAAATAGAAACGGCACTAAAGTAAAAATTAAAATTCATATTCGGTAGAAATTTTATGCCACCCTCTACTATCTCAAGCAAACTTTCTGACTCTGTGGGACTCCCCAATTTACTGAATATTTTCTAAATATCTGTTCCTGGTTCACTAATGGGCCAGGGAAGATGACACCTCATGGTGTTCACTGGGCTGGTGTGGGTGTTTGATCTCATTGTCAGCCAATGAGGAACCTGAATCTGGGGTGATTACTTCACTCAATTGTCAGAACTGAGAGTTCCGGGTTATTGCCACATTCTACGTGTTTAGGCTTCCATATTGAAAATGATTAACTGTCTAATTAAGAACATCTTCTTTGGGGCTGCAAACTGAAATTTATCTTAGCTGCTGATCTAATTGTCAGGCCATTAATTTAGAAGTTCACAATTAGGGTTATGTCTCCAAAGAGATGAACAACAATCAAGCCTAAATCCCTGTCTACTGCAGAGGTCATCACTGCATGCCAGGTTGGTGGTTCTTGGAGAAAGTTGATCTACGTGTCCCATGTATGGGGAAGTCCCAGACCATTTCTGGCAGAATGACTGTCTTAGACTTTTGACCCGTTACTTGAAGTATTTGTCACTACTGTTGACACTTTCAGCATAAAGATCAGCTGACTCCAGCCACATTATGTGTTACTTGAAGCTAATCCATGTCATCTTTTAGGTATTTGAGACCGCTTAAATTCTCTCTTTTTTTTTTTTTTTTTGCTTTTATCACCATATCTATTAAAATGAGCCAATAGTCTCATTTTAACTTATTTTCCTCATCAGGGTCCACAGCTTTTGGTTAGGTAATGTGTTGATTAAATGGTTTATTAGTCACCTTCTTTGGTCCCAGAAGAGATTATCTCCTGTTGACTGTCTCTAAGATATAGATAACATTGTTATTGAGTAAAAGGAGCTCACTTCTTGAAGTGCTAGAAGCCAATACTATGACATCAGGTTTTTAAGAGAAAGCAATTTTATACTGAAACGTTACTCTCAAGCTCATTGCCTCCTCATGGATGTCATGGGCAAACTGAAGGGGAGTTGTGATGAAACAGGCAGTGAAAATTCAGACGGTGACCTCAGCAAGGTGATTCTGCCAAAACACCATTTGGCCATAATGATTCCACCAATTTAAGCCAGTTTGTTTATTTCATAAGTAGAGGGAGTTTCAGTGTTTTGGCAAGTTGTGTTTTTGTTTTTTTTTTCTTTTCTGTTATTCTGCAAGCTCAAGATTTTCTGTTAGATACTGGCTTTCTTTTAACTCTGCAGAAGTGTTGCAAAATGATTGGGGCTATAGGAATCTATTTTCCAAATCTGAGTTTCCACACTGACATTCCTGGGCAAGATGTGATTTCTCCTAACTGCAACCTCCAGGCAGCCTGGTTTGTATGATTTCTGAGTAGCAGCCCAGTCAAAAAAGGGGTTATGGAACTCCAATTTAGTTCTGATTATGGTGTATATAAACATTCTTGTCTCTATTACAACTGGATCTACTACATAAAATGTCTACAGCAAAATAGGAGGGGATCAGATAAAGGTACAATTATAAGTATTGGAATGGATCACATTAATTCTGAGGATATAGAAGGGGAGCAACAACCTGAAACCAGGGGAGTGAACGACTTAGATCTCAGGAGCTATGGGAAATGGATAGGCATGAATAACCTCTTTTCCTTCTGAATTGCCCCTGGCACACTCCAGAAAAGTCTGGCAATAATTTTGGGATAGGATGAGAGTAGGGTTAGTTAGACCAGGTGGAAGTGCAAAGACTAAGTTTATTTTTTCCATTCCATCCCCCATATCACCCTTAAGAATCCTTTGGGCTGGGCACAGCAGCTCACACCCAGCACTTTAGGTGACCAAGGAGGGTGGATAACGAGGTCAGGAAATCGAGACCATCTGGCCAACATGGTGGAACCCAGTCTGTACTAAAAATATAAAAATTACCCAGGCAAGGTGGCACATGCCTGTAGTCCCAGCTATTTGGGAGGCTGAGGCAGGAGAATTGCTTCAACCTGAGAGACCAAGGTTGCTGTGAGCTGAGATGATGCCACTGCACTCCATCTTGGATGACAGAGGAAGACTCCATCTCAAAAAAAAAAAAATCCTTTGTAATTATCCCATTTCTCTGCAATGTAGTAATGAAATTCTAGTGAGGAGCATGCGTTCTCAGTGCCCAGTTGTCTGAGGCCACAGTTGAGTTGCTTCAGGGAAAAAACAAACAAACAAAAAAAAACCAAAACGAAAACACAAAAGCAAAAGCAAAAACAAAAACAAAAAACCCTATTGCTTTTGTTTTTTTCTAAAAAGATTAAATGCCCCATGGTTTAAAATAAGCTGGCTCTACAAAACATTGAATTCATCTTTTATTTTCTCTGTGAGCAGAGGCTCCTCCTTCTGTTTTTCTACCATCTAGAGATGAATCTATATTTGTCAATATTGACATAAATTGGAGACATAAATCATGTAAGAACCCTAGACAAGCCTTCAAAATAATCTGAGTCTTGCTCGTTTCTCTTCTCAATTATGTTGTCAGAGAGAGCTACCTGAGATGAAGTCTCTCAGGAATAGTTAGAACATTGCACTTCTAGAGAAGATGGTGAGACAGGGCAAGACTCACAGTGAGAATAAAAGCTTCTTCTCAATCTTTCAGTGTATCTGTTTCTGGTAGATGAATCCAGAAAAGATTCCAGAGCCAGGGAAGAGCTATTTGAGAGGGTAGAATCACTGTAGATCAGAGTACTAGGTCATATGTTTATTAGTCACCTTCTTTGGTCATATTCTCAGTGCTAAGCCTCTGATAGGGCTTCAGAGCAATGTATGCCTGTGAAAATCTCTAATTCCATTTGAAAGATGAAGTTCTGGCTCTGGGAGAAGTCTCCTATCTGACAGAACATCATGCTTCTGTGGGCATGAGATTCTGTGCCCTTCCTCAGCAGACACCACTGACTCAATAATTGTTTAAGAATCATGCATAAATAGGCCTTCCTTATCATGAATCTCTTAAATAACAAAACAGAGAAAACCCATTTATCCACGTTCAAATTGAATAAGAGTGTAAGAAACTTCACAGAAATTGTTATAGAAGGAAACTCTTGGGCTCTGTCCATCTCCAGAAATCTCAAAATTCTGGCACAATCTGTTACAATTAACCTTATCAGAGCTTGAATTTTTTTTTTGCTATATATATTTACCTTTAATTGGACCTTAATTTTGTTATATGTTTTAATTTAATTTTATTTTTTTGATGGAGTCTTGCTGTGTCTCCGAGGCTGTAGTGCACTGGTGTGATCTCAGCTCACTGAAAGCTCCACCTCCTGGGTTCACACCTTTTTCCTGCCTCAGCTTCCCTAGTAGCGGGGACTACAGGCGCCCGCCACCACACCCAGCAATGTTTTTGGACTTTTAGTAGAGACGGGGTTTCACCGTATTAGCCAGGATGGTCTCGATCTCCTGACCTTGTGATCCGCCTGCCTTGACATCCCAAAGTGCTTGGATTACAGGCTTGAGCCATCATGCCCGGCCAAGGATAAACCATTGTTTAACCTTTGTGATAGAAACATCAAATTCCCATATCCCAAGCATTAATAATACTGTCCACTGCAATTGTTATTGCTTATTAACTTTTTGCTATGGTCTGGATATTTGTGTTCCTCACTCTCCACATTCATATTTAAAAACTTAATCCACACGTGGATTCAGTGTGATACTATTAGTTATTGGAACTTTGAGAAAGTTATTAAGTCAGGAGGGCTGCATGTTAACGAGAAAATAATAGTGCCCGTGTGACGGAGGTTGAAAGGAATATTCATGCCCCTTCTGTCGTGTGAAGACATAGCTAGAAGGTGCTACTTGTGAGGAACAGAACCTCACAAGAAAGAGCCTCAGAAAGTTGTTATACAGCAGAACATCTTTCTCTCTTGAGAGATTCTGGCCAACAGTGCTGCATGGTGGACTGTCTTTAGAATGTGAGTTTTTGGTTACCAGAATACTTAGTACTGTTAGGACCTTTCACCAAAGAAATGAGGTCACTTCTTGAAGGTATTATTCTTCTTTCAATAAGACCTATCTTCCTTCAATAAGACCTACTCAAAGGCTTTTCTGCACTGCTGACTGCTCACCATTCTCTCCCAAGTCATCTGATTACTTGTGCACAATTATGCAAATACAGCACCTCCTGCACCAGTGCCGGAGGAAATGGAATGCAGCCAGAGCCACAAGTTTGAGGATACAAGCTGAGTTAAAGTCTTTATGTTTAATGTATTAATTATGTGATGCCAAGTATGTCATTGTGCCTCTCAGGGGCTCCATAGTCTCACAGCCTGCACAGTGGGGATTATGGTGGCATCCAGCTGCAAGGGATCTCATGAGATATGTATAAAATGATACGCATGACTGTTGGGTTTGATATTAAACACAGCTACTGCATAAACTTAGAGAAAGAAACTACAAGGGATGGGACATTGCTTGAATATCTCTCAAACATGCCTGGGTTTTATAACTTGAATCTTGAGAAAGTCATGTCCCCTCTTGAATTTATTTTTCAAACTCCACCATGAAAACATTGAAATTGAATAAAATTTAGATGTTGTTATTCTTTGGCCAGAACAACAACAATAACAACAACACACATTGTAGTACCTTCTCGTTATATTTAGAATCAGGCCCATTTGTCTCACCTTGGCATACGTAGTGCACAGCCTTCATGATGGCTCATAATAATTTTTATTTCCAACTATACACACCCAAATGTAAACAGTAAGTGGTTAGTGACTCACTTCATGGCAGTAGAATACATTGGAAAATAGGGAATGTCACTGCCAATATTTGATTATGAAAAGATTGTCACTTGCTTCTTACTTTCTCTCTCTTGTGATATTGTTTACTTCCTTTTTTCCTGTCTTTCTCTCTGTCTGTCGCATACTTTGCTCTGGAGAAGCGAGCTTCAGTGTTTTAAGCTTTCATTTTTACAGGCTTGTGTGACAGAGAATAGAGAGAGTGCCCTGACCAAAGACAGAAAGAAACTAAGAACTGAGTCAAAACAATAATGCACAACTAACCAGATTGAGCTCAGAAGTGCATCCTTCCCAGTCAAGCTTCAGTTGAGACACAGCTTCAGTCTCATGAGTGAGAGGTGACAGCATGCTGGCAGCCCTCACAGCCCTCGCTCACTCTTGGTGCCTCCTCAGCCTTGGTGCCCACTCTGGCCGCGCTTGAGGAGCCCTTCAGCTCACCGCTGCACTGTGGGAGCCCCTTTCTCAGCAGGCCAATGCCGGAGCCGGCTCCCTTATCTTGCGGGGAGCGGGCAGGAACCGCGGCTGCCCGCGGTGCTTCCGGGCCAGCGCGAGTTCCGGGTGGGCGTGGGCTTGGCGGCCCCGCACTTGGAGCGGCCAGCTGGCCCCGCCAGCCCCAGGCAGTGAGGGGCTTAGCACCTGGGCCAGCAGCTGCTGTGCTCGACTTCTCGCCAGGCCTTAGCTGCCTCCCCACGGGGCAGGGCTCGGGAACTGCAGCCCACCTTGCCTGAGCCTCTCCCCCACTCCTGCCAAGGGCTCCTGTGCGGCCCGAGCCTCCCCAACGAGCTCCACCCCCTGTTCCATGGCACCCAGTCCCATCGACAACCCAAGGGCTGAGGAGTTCGGGAGCACAGCGTGTGACTGGCAGGCAGGCAGCTCCACCTGCGGCCCTGGTGCGGGATCCACTGGGTGAAGCCAGCTGGGCTCCTGAGTCTGGTGGGGACTTGGAGAAACTTTATGTCTAGATAAGGGATTGTAAATACACCAATCGACACTTTGTATCTAGCTCAAGGTTTATAAACACACAAATGAGCACCCCGTGTCTAGCTCAGGGTTTGTAAATACACCAATCAACACTCTGTATCTAGCTAATCTAGTAGAGACGTGGTGAACTTTGTGTCTAGCTCAAGGATTGTAAATGCATCAATCAGCACCCTGTGAAAAGGGACCAATCAGCTCTCTGTAAAACAGACCAATTGGCTCCCTGTAAAATGGACCAATCAGCAGGATGTGGGTGGGGCCAGATAAGAGAATAAAAGCAGCTGCCCGAGCCAGCAGTGGCAACCCTCTCGGGTCCCCATCCACACTGTGGAAGCTTTGTTCTTTCGCTCTTTGCAATAAATCCTGCTGCTGCTCACTCTTTGCGTCCACACTGCCTTTATGAGCTGTAACACTCACCACAAAGGTCTGCAGCTTCACTCCTGAGCCAGAAAGACCACGAACCCACCAGAAGAAAGAAACTCCAAACACATGCTGACATTAGAAGGGAAAAACTCCAGGCACGCTGCCTTTAAGAACTGTAACACTCACCGTGAGGGTCCGCGGCTTCATTCTTGAAGTCAGTGAGACCAAGAACCGACCAATTCCGGACACATGAGGACATTGTGGTAGACCCATTCAACTAAGCTGTGTCAGTATTTGTAGCCAACAGAAAATAAGACATAATGCATATTTGGAATTTTAAGCCACTACACATTGAGCTAATGAGTAGAATTATTTTTTCTAATTTTATTTACTGATTGCCCTTAGTTACTGTATAAAAGTGCAATTTAATATTGTGCATTTATCTTGTATCTTGTGACCTGCTGAACTCATTTATTAGTTCCAGTTGATTTTTGTAAACTCTTTAAAAATTCTTGAATATAAGTTGATGCCATTTACAATAAAAGTTTATTTTATAAATTTAGAAGTTTTATTTGTTTTTATTATATAATTTCTCTGCCTAACACCTTTAGTTCAATTTAGTAGAGTAGCGAAAGTAGCCATGCTTATCTGTTTCCCACAACTGTGAGGCAAAGAGCCTAGTCTTTCATCAGCAAGTGTAATATTAGTGGGAAATTTTTATGAATCCTTTTTAGTAGTTCCAGTAAGTTTTTCCTTCCTAGTATGTTAAGGATTTTATAATGAATCAGTGTTGTTTGTATCACAAGCTTTTCTGTGTCTATTAAAAGGATCATTTTATGTTCTTCACTTTATCAATGTTGTGTATTAAATTATTGGTTTTTAGATATTAAGCCACTTCATTTGTAAAAAGATTGTACTTGGCCATGGTGTATAATTACTTTTACGTGTTTCTGTATTTAACTTATTAGTACTTTTTGAGAATTATGTGTCTTTATTTATCAGCCGTATGTACCCATATTAATCCTAACACATGATGGGTTTGTCTGGCTTTGGTATAGTAATATTGGCCTCATAAAGTAGTTAGGGGTTGTTTATCTCTTATCTATGTATGGTGTGTATTTGTAAAGGATTGGTATTTTTATGAAATATTTTGTATAATTTAACAGTTAAAGTATTTGACTCTGATTTTTCTTTGTGGTAAGATTTTTAAAATAATTTAATCTTTCATTATAGGTCTCATATCTCCCACTTCTTGAGCTTCATTTGTTAAATTGGGCCTATCAAGTTATTTACTTCTAATTTGTAACAATCCATGTTTCCAGATATAGGCAGCTGGTATGCCTGTTATGTGGGATAATGTAGCTTTGTGAAAGTTTTACGTATTATGTGGGATAATGTAGCTTTGTTAAAATCAATAAATAGCCAAGTTTTTACTCAGCTTAAGGATTGAGACTATAATTTTTATACTTCATACTTGCATGTATTGCCTGAGTCAAAAAAGCTATTACATCTAAAAGAAACCAGTGAAACATATCATTTGACATGAAGTTTTATCAAAATGACACATTAGCCTAACCCCTTTTTCACAAATATTTAGAAAAGAAAAGAATAAATTTAAATAAGATTACAAAATAATTTAGTCAATAAAGAATATTATAAGGAATAAAAATTTAATGAATCAGGGTTATTAGTACTTAGTAGCCCCTACAATGTTTTAGAAATTATTCTAAGTCATTTACCCACATATACTTAATAGCTGAGTCTAAAACATATAATACAGAAATTTGTTAATAATGACAAATTGAAATATTTACAATTATATTAAATGACATTAAGACCATCAGAAATCAAATGTTTAACATACAGTAACTAAATAAACACAAGTAATGATAACTTTATTAGAAAGTATGACTACTAGCAAGAGAGAAAAATTAATAAAATTTTTCAGCAGTGAACCAAAGATACACACTGTATGACAGAGGGGGAAAATAAATGGCAAGGGTTTAGGCCTAACAATATCATTCATTTTATGAGAGCAGAAATTCAACAGCTCATATCTTTTAGGACACTAAAATGACAGTAGAAATTCTAAATTGTACTCAACAAGTAATATTTAGCCATGCACAAATTTTGTTTCATTAAATTAATTTATAAAATAAATATAAGATTTCATGAATTATTTTTGTGAGGTCAAGGACATACTAAAAGGAAGCACAGAGTTCTGTTCTCTGTAGTTAAGTATATATTTTCATAAAGGCACATAAAAGAAAATTTTAAGTATCAAAAGAACTACCCCTTACAAGTGACTATTACTACATATTTGAGAGAGATGTTTTGAATGAAGAAACGGAATATCTCATAAGATGTGGTTGTATGCTGCCCAATGCCTATGAAATATTCTACTCATGTGTACACTGCATATTTGTGCTTTCAGAAGAAAAGGCTACATATTTTTAAATATTTTAGTGTAGACAAGTAAAAGTTCTCAAGAAGCTACAAGAACTATGAAAATAATGAATACAGTTTAAAAATATAGAAGCACTTGATGAAAGCTAAAGTAAATCAAGAGAATAAGCCAGAGAAGTAATCAAACTGAAAAAAAGTGGTCCCTTCAGATACTGATAGATCACAAGGATGTCAAGTCTGTATGCTGTCCACCTTCCTCCAAGGGAAAATGGAATAAGCACAGAAATAACATGACTACAGACATCTCAAATGTGATATTTCCCAAATATTGGAACCAAGTTAAAAACTAAAGAACACAAGTAAATAAAAAGAAATTTCTGAAGAAAAACTAGGCCACCATTTTCCATATTCAAATATCATATTTGAATCACAGCTCGGTAGAATGTAAAGAATAAAAAAATTAGGACAAGGTATAGGTGAAACACTAAATTAAACAGAGATAAAAAATTACCTGAGTATTGAATAGAATGAATATAACCAAATATAGTAAAGAGAGATGACATATCATAAGATATAGTTTTAACAAGATAAAGGCTGGGATGAGACGCTAAACATCTTAATTATTTTATTAGAACAAAAAGTATGAATGAGGCAGAGCAAATAAGGCCAGCCAGATCCAAGATTTGGGAAAAGAAAATCTTTCCCTCCATGGAAGCAGCCTCAAGTGTACATTGCAGAGGGCCCAGATCAGAGAGGAATGAGAAGTGGTTGCCATTCTTGCAATCAGTGTTATCCGTTTTCTTGCAGCCCAGGTTTATATAACTGTTCTAAGTCCAGTAAATTGTCTATAGCTGCACATCTATTAAGAGGCTGAGACAGCAGTCAGGACCAACTTTGCTAAATGTCCATAAACTACTCTACCTCATGGAAATTCTCTGGATCTTGGAGACTCTGGAGAGTGACGCTTCTGCAAATAGAGGCATAATTTATTTGAGATTTTTATCCATCTGTTATTATCCTTTACTGTTAGGAATAATCTTCTCTGAAAAATGCTTTTGACCCACCTTGGAAGGTCTTTTAATAGTTTGGGAAAGTGGGGCATGGCAAGGTGGCTCATGCCTGTAATCCCAGCACTTTGGGAGGCTGAGATGGGTGAATCATGAGGTCAGGAGATCCAGACCATCCTGGATAATACGGTGAAACCCTGTCTCTACTAAAAATACAAAAAAGTAGTCGGGCGTGGTGGCAGGTGCCTGTAGTCCCAGCTACTTGGGAGGCTGAGGCAGGAGAATGGCATGAACACGGGAGGTGGAGCTTGCAGTGAGCCGAGATAGCTCCACTGCACTCCAGCCTGAGAGACAGAGCAAGACTCCGTCTCAAAACAAAAAAAAAAAAAATTGGGAAAATGGCTGAGGGCTGAGGTTAGAAATCCAAGGTAAAACATTATGTTATATATTTTACATCATAGAAGAAATTTGAGAACACATAGAATACAATCCGCTATTCATAATTTTTTTTGAGCATTTTCAGGCTATGTTTTTGACATAGACTAAGTTGAATTACTGTGCCAGAGACAATCTCGTGTCTAAAAGCAAGTGACATAAAAATAGATCTGCAAAGATACATTTTCTCCCGCTTTAATTTAAGTAAACAGCTGAGTACATCTTCAAGTTGTACTTTGAGTTCAGTAAGATAAATCTGTTTTTTAAGACTCCAAATCTAGCACTAACAATGGGTCAAATCCCTGCAACAGACATGAAAATCACAAACAGCTAATGCGTTCCTCATCCTGAAATTCTCGCTGCCAGCACAGCAGTCTGAAGTTGACCTGGGCCAATTGAGGTCAGTTGGAGGGAGTGGAGTCCACCATTACTGAGGCTTTAGTAGACAGTTTTCCCCTGACGGTGCCAAGGAGGCTGGAAGGTCCGGGTTGGGTGCAGCAAAGTGGCTGTGGCAGACTGCTTCTTTAGAGTCCTCCTCATTGGGCAGGTCATATTTGAAGGAAAGGTAACAGCCCTAGTCAGAGGCTTACACAGAAAACCTCTATCTCCCTGGGACAGAGCACATGGGGGAAGGGGAGGCTGTGGGTGCAGCTTCAGTGGATTTCATCATTCCTGCCTGCTGGCTCTGAAGAGAGCAGCTGATTTTGACTAGAGGGATTCTGCCAGCACAGTGCACCAGCTCTGCTAAGAGACAGACTGTCTCCTCAAGTGGGTTCCCCGTGACTCCTGACTGGGAGAAACCTCCTAACAGGGGTTGACAGACACCTCATACAAAAGGGCTCCAGTTGGCATTGGGCGGGTATCCTCCTGGGATGAAGTTTCCAGAAGAAGGAGAAGGCAGCAATCTTTGCTGTTCTGCAGCCTTTACTGGTGACACCCAGGTGAACAGGGTCTGGATTGGAACTCCAGCAAACTGCACTGGACCTGCAGAAGAACCTTGCTGTTAGAAGAAAAACTAACAAGCAGAAAGCAACAACATCAACATCAACAGAAAGGACCCACCCAAAAAAAACCCCATCCAAATGTCATCAGCCCCAAAGATTGAAAGTAGATAAATCCATGAAGATGAGGAAAAAACAGCACAAAAATGCCAAAAATTCCAGAAACAAGAATGCCTTTTCTCCTCCAAATGATCACAACACCTCTCCAGTAATGACACAAAACTGGATGGAGAATGAGATTGAAGAATTGACAGAAGTAGTCTTCAGAAGGTGGGTAATAATAAACTCCTCTGAGCTAAAGAAGTATGTTCTAACACAATGCAAAGAAGCTAAGTATCTTGATAAAAGGTTATGGGAACTGCTAACTAGAATAACCAGCTTAGAGAGAAACATAAATGGCCTGATGGAGCTAAACAATGCCTTTAAGTTATATGGGACTATGTGAAAAGACCAAACCTACGATTGATTGGTATACCTCAAAGTGACGGGAAGAATGGATCCAAGCTAGAAAACAAACTTTAGGATATTATCCAGGAGAACTTCCTCAACCTAGCAAGACAGGCCAACATTCAAATTCAGGAAATACAGAGAACATCACTAAGATACTCCTCGAGAAGAGCAACTCCAAGACACATAATCGCCAGACTCTCCAAGGTTGAAATGAAGGAAATAATGTTAAGGGCAGACAGAGAGAGAAGTCAGGTTACCTACAAATGGAGGCCCATCAGACTAACAGCAGATCTCTTTGCAGAAACTCTAGAAGCCAGAAGAGAGTGGGGGCCAATATTCAACATTCTTAAATAAAATAATTTTCAACTCAGAATTTCATATCCAGCCAAACTAATCTTCAAAAGCAAAGGGGAAATAAAGTCCTTCACAGACAAGCAAATGCTGAGGGATTATGTCACCACCAGGCATGCCTTACAAAATCTCCTGAAGGAAACACTAAATATGGAAAGGAAAATATGGTTCACCACTGCAAAACCACACCAAAATATAAAGACCAATCGATACTATGAAAAAACTGCATCAACGAATGTGCAAAATAACCAGCTAGCATCATGATAACAGGATCAAATTCACACATAACAATATTAACCATAAATATAAGTGGGCTAAATACCTCAATTAAGAGACAGAGCCTGGCAAATTGGTTAAACAGTCAAGAATCTTTGGTGTGCTATATTCAGGAGACACATCTCACATGCAAAGACACACATAGGCTTAAAATAAAGGGAAGGAGAAATGGCAAATGGAAAGCAAAAAAAGCAACAACAACAACAAAAAAAGCAAGGTTTCAATCCTAGTTTCTTGTAAAACAGACTTTAAACCAAGATGAAAAAAGACAAAGAAGGGCACTACATAAAGGTAAAGGGATCAATGCAACAAGAAGAGCTAACTATCCTATATATATACCTACCCAACAGAGGAGCACTGAGATTCATAAAACAAGTTCTTACAGACCTATAAAGAGACGTAGACTCCCACACAATAACACTGGGAAGTTTTAACACCCCACTGCCAATATTAGACAGATCAATGAGACAGAAAATTAACAAGGATATTCAGGATTTGAAATCAGCTCTGGACTAAGCGGACCTAATAGACAACTACAGAACTCTCCATGCCAGAAGAACAGAATATACATTCTTCTCCATGCCACATAGCACATATTCTAAAATTGACCACATAATTGGAAGCAAAACACTCCTCAACAAATGGAAAAAATGGCAACCATAACAAACTGTCTCTCAGACCACAGTGCAATCAAATCAGAACTCAGGATTAAGAAACTCACTCAAAACCACATAAATACATGGAAATTGAACAACCTGCTCCTGAACGACTACTGAGTAAATGACAAAATTAAGAGAGAAATTAAGTTTTTTTTGAAACAAATGAGAACAAAGAGACAATGTACCAGAATCTCTTGGACACAGCTAAAGCAGTTTTAAGAGGGGATATGCTAGCACTAAATGCCCACAACAGAAAGCTGGAATGATCTGAAATCGACACCCTAACATCACAATTAAAACAACTAGAGAATCAAGAGGAAACAAATTCAAAAACTAGCTGAAGGAAAGAAACAACTAAGATCAGAGCAGAACTGAAGGAGATAGAGACAAGAAAAACTGTTCAAAATCAATGACTCCACTAGCTGGTTTTTTGAAAAGATTAACAAAAGAGATGGACCACTAGCTAGATTAATAAAGAAGAAAAGAAAGAAGAAACAAATAGACACATTAAAAAATGATAAACAGGATATCACCACTGATTCCACAGAAATAAAAACTACCATGAGAGAATACTATAGACATCTCCACACAAATCAACTAGAAAATATAGAAGAAATGGATAAATTTCTGGACACATACACTTTCCCAAGACTAAGCCAGGAAGAAGTTGAATCCCTGAATAGACCAATAAAAAGTTCTGAAATTGAGGCAGTAATTAATAGCCTACCAATAAAAAAACGCTCAGAACCAGATGGATTCACAGCCGAATTTTACCAGAAGCATAAAGAGCAGCTGGTAACATTTCTTCTTAAACTATTCTAAACAATTGAAAAGGAGGGACTCCTCCCTAATTCATTTTATGAGGTCACCATCATAATGATACCAAAACCTCGCAAAGACACAACCGCAACAAAAATTTCAGGCCAATATCCCTCATGAACATCGATGTAAAAATCCTCAATAAAATACTGGCAAACTGAAACCAGCAGCACATCGAAAATGTTATCCACCATGATCACGTCAGCTTCATCCCTGGGATTCAAGGCTGGTTCAACGTATGCAAATTAATAAATGTAATCCATCACATAAACAGAACCAATGACAGAAACCACAGGATTTTCTCAATAGATGCACAAAAGGCCTTAGATTAAATTTAATATCCCTTCATGTTAAAAGCTCTAAATAAACTACGTATTGACGGAAAAAGTCTCGAAATAATCAGAGCTGTTTATGACAAACCCCTAGCCAATATCATACTTAATAGGCAAGTGCCGGAAGCATTCCCTTTGAAAACCAGCACAAGACAAGGATGTCCTCCCTCAGCACTCCTATTCAAGATAGTATTGGAAGTTCTGGCCAGGGTAATCAGGCAAGTGAAAGAAATAAAGGGTATGCAAATAGGAAGAGAGGAAGTCATATTGGTACCAAAACAGATATATAGACAGAGGGAACAGAACAGAGACCTCAGATTGCAGGGATATGGAGGAAGCTGGAAGCCATCATTCTCAGCAAACTAACAGGAACAGAAAACCAAACACCACATGTTCTCACTCATAAGTGAAATTTGAACAATGAAAACACATGGACACAGGGAGGGGAACATCACACATCAGGGCTTGTCAGGGGGCAAAGTGAAGGAGAGCACTAGGACAAATATCTAATATATGTGGGGCTTAAAACCTAGCTGACAGTTTGATAGATGCAGCAAACCACCATGGCAAATATAAAACTATGTAACAAGTCTGCACATTCTGCACATGTATCCCAGAACTTAAAGTATAAATAAATAAATAAATCTCCAGCAAGGAAGGAAACCAGAGATCAGGTTGGAGTCTTGCTATTCACATCTGAGTATACAGACTCACTCCCCAACTCTCTTATTTTTATTCTGCCAGCTCTGACCTGAATATGAACATAACAAACACACAAGAGTTCCAACACCTGACAATCGGCTTCTGCCCAAGAAGTGTGCCCTCTCTTTTGTCCATCCTGCAACTCATGGTACAAAGAAGTGGTGTGGGGCTGCCCAGATGAGATGATGAGAGAGGCCTGGCCTCGATGGACATGTCCTGGGCTGCTCTGTGTTATCTGTAGGTGCACTTGGCCAATGGCCAGGGGTATCAGGAATGAGGGCTGAGTTGATATCTGTGTTATCAGAGAAGGCTTTTACATTGAGGCTTTGTAAGGCTAGAACTCAGAAATATCAAGGCACAATGAAAGGACATCTCACTCTCTTGAGCATCTCTCACCAACAGAGGTGGATACAGAGCTGTCTCAAGAATGTGGGTTCCTGGTTTCTTAACTGCTGTGGGGTTCTGTCACCAGGAAAGTGTGTTAAACTCTTCAAGGTTCCATCTACTGGGCCCCTTATTTCTATAAGACCTACCCAAAGGCCCCACTATGCTATTGATTGCTCAGTCTCCTCTTCCATGTCAACTCTTTATTTGTACACAATTATGCAAACACAACTTCCCCTTAATTCCCTGGAAAGACCTAAATGCATCCTGGGTTCCAGGATATAAGAGACAGCTGGAAAATAACCTTGTTTTTCTTACCATCTCTGGGACCTAATAAAAGTCACTGTGTATTTGAGGCTTCCCCAGCCTCCTAGCGTGCACAGTGGGGATAATGTTATCTACTTCCTAGGGAATGTATCAGATGTATATAAGATAAAATGTAAAAATCGTGGTGTAGTTTCACATGTAAATAATGCACACACTTAGAGATGGAAGCATTAGGAGAATAGGTGGGAGGTAGCATGGGCCACAACTCAGGTAGGCCTGGGGTCCAGCAGTGTAATCTTGGGAAAGTCACTTCCCCACTGGGCTTCAGTTTCATTCTGCTGCAGTACGAGGTTGAAATTAAATGTAGATATCATCCTCTGGCACTGATGTGGTTTAGCTGTGTGTCCCCACCCAAACCTCATTTTGTATTATAACCTCCAGGTGTTAAGGGAGAAACCTGAGGGGAGTTGATTGGATTATGGGGACGGGTTTTTCTTATGCTGTTCTTGTGATAGTGAGTGAGTTCTCAAGAGATCTGATGGTTTCATAAGCTTCTGGTGTATCCCCTGCTCTCACTCACTTCACTTGTTGGCCACCATAATTGGAAGGTTTCTGAGCCTCCCCCACCCAATCTTGTGGAACTGTGAGTCAATTAAACCTCTTTTCTTTATAAATTACCCAGTCCCAGGTATTCCATCATTGCGGTATAAAAATGGACTAATACAACTATTAAACTTTCTAGTGACTTCTTATTATATATAGAATTATATCCATGTGCCTTATCTCACCTAAGTTGGGGAAAGCCTTCACAAAGTCTCCCAGCACTAGGTGGTTAGTGACTCAGTTTGTTATTGAACAAAATGACCTACTGCTCGATGCCAGTAGTATGGCACTTGGGTTTTGAGAAAAATGGCATCTTGTTGTAGGTTGGCCAACAGGAGACAGGAGTCCAGCTGAAATCAGTTTCCTTATATAGGCTTTAAGGTGTTGATTAAAAAATGCTTAAGAAGTGGGCTCTGGATTAGGAGGGGATTGCTGGAAGGAAAGTAGTAATATGGAAAGTCATGAGACATGCACAGTCATCTCCTCTTGTTTCCTCACAGGTCACATGAATATTCAGGGAGTGTTAATATGAAACATGCAACGGAAATTTGGGCTCTAACATCAGCAAACTCATTCTCCATGGACTTCAGTTGGCCATATTGCTTCCAACATATTTCAGCCAATTTTTTAAAATCTTATAAGCAGAGGAGATTTAAGTGTTTCAACAAGCTGTTTCTTATCTTTCATTCTGAATATCCAATTTTTAAGTCTTTTTTTTTTAACAGTTTGAAGGCACAAATTCAGCTTCTGTCAAATGGAATACAGAATAGTGTATGACTTTTGTATTAGTTCAGGCTGCTATACCAAAGAACCATGAACTAGACAGCTTATAGACAACAGGATTTAATTTCTCACACTCCTAGAGGTTGGAAATTTGAGATCAGGGTATCAGCATGGTTGAGCTCTGGTGATGACTCTTCTGAATTTCAGACTGCACACATCAAATTTTATTCTCATTTGGTAGAAGGAGACAGACATCCCTCTGGGGTTTCCTGTGTAAAGCCAGTAATCTCAATCATGATGGCCTCAACCTCAGGAGTTAATTACAACCTATCTCCTTATAGCATTACACTGGGGGTTACAATTTTAATACAAATTATTGTAACTCTCAAGTTTTTTTAAAGCTGTCATTATTCCTCCTACTGGGTTTTTCCTATTTGCTTCCTCAGTCTTTCCATTTCTTTATGTCTCTTTGTGTGAAACTGTTTGCCTAATTCTGTCTCTCAATTGTATTCCTCAAACAGAGGAAGCAAGCTCCAATGCTATGAGATGCTCTATGTACAGACGCACATAACAAAGAACGGAGGGAGTGCTCAGGCAGTAGACAGAAGTAAAGTCATGCTCTCAGTCTACCCTGAACCCTGCCAATTTTCACAAGCATGAGCTTAAAGGTTGATGCTTTTCCGGTCCACATTCAGTTGAGACCACAGCCCCAATCTCATAAGAGACCTGAAGGCAGAGGCAGCTAACTAAACTGTGTCCAGATTCTGGTCCACACAAATTGTGAGATACTATATACTATTGAAAGGTGCTAAGTTTTAGGGCAATGTTGTCAGAAAGGAGCAGATATCTAGCCTCATCTCCCAAGCCCCAGGATTCTCCATGCCTCTGCTTATCTCTTCCTCAGGCTGTCTGTACCAAATTGGTCCCTTTCTAATCTCTGCCAAACTCACACCTGTAAGACTCTTCACCAAGGGTGGCTTCTCACTGACACATTCTTGTGCAGAGATGCCTCCCTGTTATCATTCTCATCATGGATTAAAGATCACCTCAGTGAGGACTTTGGGTCCCCCCATTCAATGACTTTGCAGCTCTTCTTCTCAACATTCTACTTTATATAATAGTCCTTGCTCTTTTCTTTTATATATACTTGCTTTAGTGCTTTTGTCGAGCTGACTTCAGACTGTTCTGTCCTTGGAGGGGTATGCAGGCATGATGTAATCATTTTCTGTGCCACATGTTGGACCCACCAGGGTAGCTGGCAAAGGGTGAGTGCAAGGGAAAAAAGATTGGCTAAGTGGGCAATGTGGAAATTGTTGATAATAACATGAGGTGTGTGACTCTTACTTGCTCCAGCTGCTCCAGCAAAGCTCAATAGGCACCAGAAACACAGCAGGCTGTAACCACCTCCAGGCCATCACTAACACTGCAGCCCCATGCAGGAACATTATGGAACAAATCAGGTACCATTGTTTTGTGTCCTCAAGACACTGACTCTTTGGAGTTCCAGAGGACAAAGGAGCAGAATCTGAAGGCTCCAAGTACACTGAGTGACCTTGGAATCCTCCATTGCCCTCTCTTTGCCTCCACCATTTGGAGTGTGCCATTTACTCATGAGGCACCCTCCCCTTATCCAGGGAAATTATTTAATACGACTTTCAAATGAGGAGCTCAAAAACCCAACAGGAACTGGCATTTTCCCATGACTTCAGACTCAGGGTCCAGTGTTCTGACACGTTTAGCTCTATCCCATCTTTATCTACCCAAAATGCCTCTGGAGTGGCCATGCCTCTCTCTGATTTGAAGGGCCTCCAGGGAGTAGAAGCATTTCTGCAGAGTTTCAGAGCAAAGAGTCTTAGTTCACCAATGAAGAATCAAGGCTGGCAGACACTTATGAGTATGTGAAACAATCAAGGTTACCCACTTCGAGCACCCCTATTTATGAGGAAGAAAACAGTCTTCTCTGTAGCCATTGTCTACATTAGGCTGAGGTGGAGCATAGCTCATTTTACTTCCAGCTCTCCACAGAAGTGGATACAGAACCCCAGTCCTGTCCTCTTGAAACCGACCTGGAGAGGACCCCATGTGAGACACAACCCTGGAACTGCTCATTCTCTGTGCCCCTGGATATGTATCTAGGGAAGCGGATGCCCTTGCCTTATGGCAGATCTGCCCGCCCAGCTATTCATTTGTAATACATGGCCTTTAATGCTTTGAAGTGAATTTACTTTACACCTAATTTGTTGAGAGTTTTTATCATAAAGCGATGTTCCTTTTTGGAAAAAAGTTTTATTCGTCTATTTAAATGTTATGCTTGATCCTGGGTCTGTCGTTCTGATCAGAAGCTGACAGGTGCATCCATTCCTAGAGGAGAGCATGAGAACATCAGTTCTCACATTCTGTGATCATGACCTGCTTATAATGTCCACTCTGAGTGTCTGACTCCCTGAAGTAAATTGTGGCCCAGGAACTGTCATCTGTTGTCTTCACTGAATTAGGCCAAGTGTCTGGAAAACTGCGTTATATATATGTGATGAATAAATAAGCCCTAACTACAACCTTTTTAGCTATGTCTGAGTGTGCCTGGGGACTCTTTCCTACAGGATCTCTCTGTTTCAAGGACAAAGTCCAGCTAACAGGAAGCTCAAGTGCCCTTTACAAATGTAAGAACATGTTTGTTTTCTATATGATTGTCTAATTATAGAGGGACATGAGTCACTGTGACATGAAAGACCTTCTGGGGTGAAAGAAGAGAAAAAAGTAATAAATACGAACAATCAGAGCATGCCCCAGCAGGCTTTCCACAAAGCCGAGCATTAGGAAACCACTTTTCATATTGTATGCCATTCATTTCTCACAAAAAACATATAAGGTTGTGGGGGAAAGTTAAATATTAAATTTGAATTCAATTGAACATGGACAAAAGCAATGGTCATTAAGTCTCAGACAGGTTGCATGAGCCGCTTGAAGCATTCATCTGGCACTGTTTTGGAGAAATATCTATTTCAATCTATTCCTATGTGTTAGTTATTGAAAAACCACAGACAATTGCAAAAACAAGATAACCTTTTCAAGTTCCTTGAGCCCAGTTGTGAAGAGCCCTCGTGACTGGGCCTCATGCCAAACAACTCATTACAAAAAGAACTAGGGCTCTAGGCCACGCTGAAACTTCCTAAGACCTCTTCTTGTCTGTGCAGGGATGGGTGACCTACTCTGGAGTCGAGGCTGTTGCTTCCCGGTCTGGTAATGAATCCTCCGCAGTCTGGTGGGCGTAAATATGTATATATGTTTCCCTTCTCCCCTTCCCATTGCAATTTGCTTATTATAGCTGCACTGCCATTTACGTCAGATAAAGCTTGTTTACCCTTAAAGGTTTTTTTGGGTGTGTTTTCTTCTCCCCTTGCATGTCTCTCGTACAGAACAGAGGTTCATTTTACAATTCTCTATAAAGATGCAAATTGAGGCTGATAAAGATGCACTGGTATGCTAAGACACAGTTAGTAGCTGGCAGAGTCACCACTGTGCCTTGGAGAAGACATATGCTCAACTACTAGACAGCTGGTCCAGGAACTACAGAGTGGTGAGGAAGTCCTGGTAAAACTTGAGAAAAATGATAAAAAGAAGAGAGTTTGACCCTGGAAGGCTGCTGTCAGGGACTTCGTCAGCTTCTCCGTTGTGCCTGGTTTGGCGCATTGGCATCATTCACACCTCTAGGTTAAGAATAGACTCATTTCCTCTTGGGGAGGGGACAAGACTTTTCATGGCAAGACCATGAAACACCAGAGGCTTGGAATGTGGAGCTTGGATGAGGAAATCTCCATCCTTCAGAGACTTGGGCATGTGGAGGACATGGGTGTTTATGGTGAAAAAGGTTTTAGGCCTCTGATATCAAATTTAATGTGGAGGTAGAGAATAATTAATCCATGAATACAGTCAAGGCCTTCACGATATCATATCAGCTGTAAGACAACAGCACCCACTTGTATTAATAATCTTTATGAAGAGCATTATCCCAGAGAATTCCCAAAAAAACATACTCAGCCTACAAATGAGAAAATAAAGCTTTGTGATGTCAAATGGCTGCTCAGAAAAACACAAGTAAGAAAGAGAATCTTCCACGGTGGGGGTTGCATGAAATTCCCTTTAAGCTACCTGAGGCTCTATGTCTGTCCCTGACTTAGGGGGAAGGGCATGGGGAAGGCTCACTTTCTTTCTGTTTTAGAGACAGGGCACAGGATAAGATACCCTAAGACAACCCTTTTGACTTAAAGCAACTGAACTGGGTCTTTTAAAACCTTAAAGGGAGTGTTGAGAAATAACTACAGCAACCCCACACCTGACAAAGGTGTCAGTGCTTGGGGACTCCAAGGTGAGAGAAACCCCTCACAGGGCCAAGGAATTGAGCGGATTAACTGAGGGAACAGAAAACTCAAATAAGTATAAATCAACTGAAAGGTAACTCAAATATATCAGTTGAAAAATTGAAATAGAAACATGTTTTTTTGCCACATAGATAGCAGATTGACAAAAAAATTAAAAGAATGTTGACAACCAAGAGGTTCTGGATACATAAAAGCAGATAAATTCAGAAACTACTATTTACAGTACGGCTTTCACAACCCTTTTGGAATATATTCCGGCTTCTCCTATTAAACCTTTACACTTTCCTACTGTTTCACTGAGTAATCATTTTCCTGGGAGACTATAATCTACAAGGGATTAGTAAATGTTGTGAGCTAGATTGCATTCCCTTCCTAAAAATTATATGTTCATGTCCTAACACCTAGTGCCTCAGAACATGACTATATTTGAACATATAGCCTCTGCAAATGTAGTTAGGTTTAAGTGAATTAATTGGGGTGTATCCTAATTCCAGATGACTGGAGCCCTTATTAGAAGAGGCAGGAAGGACAGAAAAGCACAAGAGAAGATCTTGTGAACACAGATATAGTAGATGACGATCTACAAGCCAAGGATGGAGACCTCAGAGAAACCACACAGCCAGTAGCTTGAGGTTGGATTTCTAACTTCCAGAATTGTGCGACATTCAGTTTTTGTTGTTAAAGAACTTCAGCCTGTGGTACTGTATTAGGGAAGTCATAGCAAAGCGTTACAGCCTATTAGGACACAGATAAGATGTTCCCTGTAGCGGCTGGGCGCGGTGGCTTACACCTGTAATCCTAGCACTTTGGGAGGCCGAGGCGAGTGGATCACGAGGTCAGGAGATCGAGACCATCCTAGCTAACACGGTGAAACTCTGTCTCTACTAAAAAAAAAACCACACACACACAGAGAAAAAAAATTAGCCGGGCGTGGTGACAGGCGCCTGTAGTCCCAGCTACTCAGGAGGCTGAAGCAGGAAGATGGCGTGAACCCAGGAGGCAGAGTGCAGTGAGCCGAGACTGCACCACTGCACTCCCACCTGGGCGACAGAGCGAGACTCCGTCTCAAAAAAAAAAAAAAAAAAAAAGATATTCCCTGTAGCATGGCTGAAGTGGAAATAGAATTTATTATGTCAGGCTCCACCAGTATTAAAAGCCTAAATTACTGAGGGAAAGGCCCCACTTATGGAATCTTATAAAGACATATGAGGACACAGCTCCTGTCCTGATGGGGCTATAGAGGTGGGCTCTGGGACACATATGTAAAGAGTCATATAAGACCCTTTTGCATAACTCCCACTTTTTGGGTGAAACCTCTCTCTAGTAACAGTGTGAACTTCTAAGACTTAGAGAAGGTCTGGCAAGGCAGCGAAGCTGCCTGCTCCAGGAAGTATGTGGGGTAGGTAGATATAACAATAAAAATAATAGCAAAATGCAAAGATACTCACAACTTAATGTAAAGTAATAACAACACAAAAGTGTTTCTTTTGACATTCCTGCAAGCATATGACCAGGGACTGTGCACCTAAGTTGCCATTATGGACTAATGGAGGCCAAATTCCTCTGGGAAGGAACTGTGGGTCCTTAATGGAGAAAGCCCTAAAACGGTTTCTGGGGAATCCTCACATTTGGGTCAGGGTCCTGGGCTTCCCTGGTCTTTTCCATTTGGAGACCTCTCTGTGCCCACCTTGACTCCAGACTAGCACGGGCCATGGTTGTTGGCATGATGCACCTGCCTTTTGTTCAATGAGATGGAGTAGTTGGACTCATCAAACAGCTCCTCAGGGATCTCCTCAATAGAGTTCTGCAAAGAGAGTGCCTGGAAGCCTGGCCAAGAGGCATCAATGGCATCCTGGCTTTCCCCACAGGGGAAATTCCAGTTAGAAAGTCTACTCCCCAGATCAGGCACATAGGAGCATTTGCGCAGACCTCCAGCCAGGGAGAAAACAAGAGGACAGCTTGAAGCCTTAGAATAAATGTCTGAACAAACAAAGGTGACCCCCAGCACTCACCTTCCCCTCCTGCCAACTGTAACCTGCGGTATAAATTTGACAGGCTTTTAGCCTCCCAATACCTGGAAACCTGCTCCTGCCAAGAAAGGACCCATTATCTCTTTCTTTCCCACGAGACGTGGAGATGAGGAGGGGTGTGTGCCTGCCGAGATGATATCAAAGGTGAGGCCTGGCCTGGATAGGCCTGCCATGGGTGGCCTTGTGTTATCTATGGGTAACCCTTTCCAAATGGCCAGAAGAGCCAGCAGTGCAGAATGAGCACTGTCTCCATCATAAAAAAAAGTCTCTCTGTTCAAGCCTTCCTGAGATGAGAGCCTCAGAAATTCAAGACATAGCAGGAGAACATCTTGCTGTCTTCAGAGTCTCCTTAGTAAATACAAAGCTGTCTCTAGAATTAGGGCTCCAGGTTACCAGAGTTCTAAACTTTCTTTGAGTTTGTAACTAAGGAAGTGAGGTCACTTCGAGATTCCATCACCTGGGCTCCGGTGCGGGAAATGAACGAGGGGAAAAGAAAAGGCACCCACAATAGTTTTAAGGATAAATAGCCTTTATCCCAAGTGTATGGCAATACAGACTTGATAAGCAAATAATATAATAAGCAAATTGCAATGGGAAGGACAGAAAGAAAATATATATATGTATATTTATATACATATACATGTATATAAATATACATATATGTATATGTATATTTACACGCACCAGACTATGGAGGATTCATTACCAGACTGGGAAGCAACAGCCTGGGCTCCAGAGTCAGCCACGTGTCCATGCACAGATGAGGAGAGGTCTCATGAAACTTCAGCACAGTCTGGGACCCTAGCTCTTTTTGTAATGTGTTGTTTGGCATGAGGCGCAGTCACAGGTGCCCTTCACAACTGGGCTCAAGGAACACAAAAGATCAACTTGTTTTTGCAATTGTCTGTTGTTTTTTCAATAACTAATGTATAGGAATGGATTGAAAGATTTCTCTGAAACAGCGCTGGATGAACACCTCAAGGGGTTCATGCAACCTGTTCCAGGACTTCGTGACCATTGTTTGTGCCCATGTTCAATTGAGTTCATATTAAATATTTAACTTTTCCTCCACATTAGATTCCCAATTCTCAGAACCATGTCCACTGCCACAGGGCCTGGCTGGGAATATTGTCACTCATAGAGTTTAGAAGATGGAATGCTGGTCAGTGATGATGCTAGGGTGTTAGGTGAAGGCAGCCGGGACAGTCCCTCTAGGTTGAGGGAGGAGCTGGCCTCTCTTGTGGGGTCCTTGGCATGTCATTGCCGCTTTGGGCCTCTGTTTTCTTATGTGGAAAATGTAGGAATGATGAGCCTGTTGGGCAGGCCTCACAAGGTGGTGATGGGGCTCAGGGAGACAGAGAATCTGAGGGTGCTTGTGTCTGGCTCATCCTGAGAGGGAAGATGGTGACAGCAATCATGACAACCACATGAAACCGAGGTGGTAAGAGGCCTTGTGAGGTGGTTGGTTCCCACCACACTTTCCAGTTGAGGAAACAGCTCAGGGAAACCCGACTGCATGCCCAAAATGACACATCCAGGGAGTGTTGGACCTGGGAGTGAGTCTAGAGTCAGAGCTTACTGGAGATGGTCAGAGCATTGGACAAGCTGACTCAGGCCACTTATCCGTGTCCAAGGTTAGTGTGGCTGAGGCGTAACTGAAAGAAGCATATTTTCACTGACCTTGTCCCTCATCCTAGCAGGTGAACACCGTACAAGTTGTCTACCCTGTAGCGGAGCCTCAGAGAGCTTAGATGAGGCTGTGACAGCAGAAGGTGAATGTGTCTGTGATGGGGAAGGGCTCCAGGGTTTCAGAGAACAGAGCTTACTTCTCCCAGCTGGAAACCTCCAAATCAAAAAAGCAGAGGGCCTTTCTACTCCAGCCCTTTTCTCCTGGGGCTGCAGTGCCTAAAACACCTTCATTAGACAGACCAGAGCAAGGCCTGGGAGAGCTGGGCTCCGTGTGGCTTTTAAAACAGGTGGAGCCAGGGACCACATGACCTTGTGGCTTGTTAAAATCCCACCAAGGAGGTAATTATGGTGAGGTTGGTGGCAATAGAGGCCAGCTAATGGGAAGACATAGAGAATTGGGAAAAGGCAGCTGAGGGTTCTCAGCTACTCCAAGTGGGTAACCTAGGTAGAGGGCGCCAGGAGGCAGGGGTTTATAAGAGTTCAGCGGACAGGACTTGGGTGGGCACCTCCCAAGTCATGCCCTCTCTGGGGACATTCCTCACTGATGTGGTGATGCTGGACATTGCCATGAAGGAGTGTGTGGATGTGAGTGAGCCTGGAGAAGACAGGTCAGGGACCAGGATCCTGAGGCCTGGGAGAAGAGAGTCTTGAACTGAGCTCCTAGATCTCAGTCCTTGCCAAAATTTTTTGCGAGGGCCTCGCAGCCCTCCCCATCCCGTAAACAGGGTATTTTACTCATGAGTGATGGAGGCTCCACAGCAGCCATCAGTCCCACTCCCTGAGTAGTGAAGCTGCAGAGCTGCAAGACCTCTTTTGTGCACATTCCCTGACCCTGGTGGCTCTGGTGGTGGTGAAGCTTGGAAATCGCTGGAAATGGAGGCTAGTTATGGACCAGCGGACCTTTCTGATGGTCTTTGGCTTTCTGTCTTCCAGAGAAATGTGATCAAAACCCAGAAAAACAGAAAGGTGAGCAGTAGCTGAAGTCCTCACTTTGAGGGAGGGTGGAGGTGGAAATGAGAAATCACCCTGGGCAGGACATTCCCTGGTCCCTTCTTCCGCATCTAAGATTTATTGAAAGGGAGTAATACACAGAGAAGGAGGAGACCTATCCTAATGCAGGGTGCAATCAGGGGAGTGAAGTTGATGACAACTTCCTAGAGGAAGGGCCGTTTACATTCAACTCTGAGAACCAGTTAGGGCTGCATGATATTGGAGGGGAGGTGAGAGCCCCTTAAAAGAAACACCTCAGAGACCAGCCCTCCTCCCTTCTTTTATAAGGCCCCTACAGAGTCTTTCACCCAGGCCCTGTCAGCATCCTGTCTTTCCCTCTGTTTCCAGAAGATTAAAGTCCTCCAGGAGATGCAGCAGTTCCACACAGCTGGAAACCATCATCATCTTCAGACTCAAGAGGAATTTCGGGCTTTGTTCCAAGCCTGGAGCAGCACAATCAGAATAAAAGGCAAAGACCTAGCAGATGAGCAGAGGGTAGGAGGGGAGACTGTCTTGCCGCCAGCCTCACACAGCGTGTGGCCATGGTTCCCTGGCCGGCATCAGGTCCTGTTGCACCTGGACTCCAGCTGCTGGGGAGGAACTGGGGGACCTGAGGTGTGGCTTCTGGAACCTCACAGCTGTCACTCTTCTCTGAAGTTGCTAGCCATGAAGAACAGGCTGTGATAAAATCTCAGAGCCATTAAGTGCCTGTTGTTGGAATTGCTTTCATGGCTCATTGAAGTTTGTACTAAGCATGGGCTCTGGCAGTCAGGCAGCTCAAGTAGGGTTCCAGCCACACCATTGACCAGCCCTGCGAGTGGGGCAGAAAGCTCACTACTCTGGCACTTGAGGCATCACGTCGTAAATTTAATGCAACCAATCCCTTTTTCACTGTTACCTACCTTTCTCTATAAACACCATGACCTGATCTCTGCTAGCATTTTTCTTAAAATGGATAAACATATGTTATATAGTATATATTATTCTTCCTCATGATTTTTTTGCTATATTGTCTCTTTCCACTCATATGAGATATTTACAGCAGTTAAGTTCATAGAAACACGAAGTAGAAGAGTAGTTTCCAGGGACTACACAAAGGGCAATGGAAGGGGAGTGTTGTTTACTGGGTACAGAGTTTCACTTTTAAAAGATTGAAAAACAGTTCCTTATGAACTTGGACAATGGTTGCAAAACAATGTGAATGTATTTAATTTCTTTAAACTGCACACAAAAAAAATAATAAAATGGTTAATTTCATGTATTTTTATATTTTACTAAAAGGTAAAAACTACTTTCTAAAATGAACAGACTATAGCTATTTGCAACTGGTGGGTGAATATCACAAATGTAATGTTGCATAAAAGAAAGCAGACATGCCAGTTTGGGCAACATAGTGAAACCCTGTCTCTACCAAAAATACAAAACAATTAGCCGGGCATGGTGGTGCAAGGCTGCGGTCCCAGTGACTCAAAAGGCTGAAGTGGAAGGATATCTTAAGCCTGGTAGGCAGAGGTTGCAGTGAGATCATGCCACTGCACACCAACCTGGGGAAAAGAAAGAAAGAAAAAAGAAGAGAGAAAGAAAGAAGGAAAGAAAGAGAGAAAGAAAGAAGACAGAAAAGGAAAGAAAGAAAGAAAACAGAAAAGGAAATAAAGAAAACAGATGTACAAGTATACATACTATATAATTTTGTTTATATAAAATGCTACAATCAAATAAAACTGAGGTTCTGACTTCCACTAAGTGTGGACTAGCTTGTTGAACTCTCACAAATAACAATGATGAAACTTGAATAAAATATATTATTATAGAAAAACGCCTATGCATAATACATATATGATATGTGTGTTTAACAACTGAATGAAGATTTCAGCTATACCCACTGTAGCGGACATAAGCATTGGTTTGACACTAGCCCAATGAACCCTGTTTATAAAACAAAAGTCTTCAAGGTAAAACAGCAAAATCCAGAGTTTCTATTCTATAATTATCATTTATAGTTTCTAGTGCACAATTTTAAAATTCATAAGACTTGTAAAGAAACGTGAAAATGTCATCCATACACAATATCAAAAGCAGGCAGTAGAAGCTATCCCAGGATGTTGCAATCAGCAGACAAGAATTTGAAGGCAGTTTTTATGAATATGTTCATGGGGAAAAAAGAAAATATTCTATTCATAAACAAACAGATGTGGAACTTCAGCAGAGAAATGAACATATATATAAAAAAATTATAGATAAGGAAATGAAAAAAATCTTTTGAGTTTAGCCATAGATTTAAAACAGAAGACACAGCAATAGAAATTATCCAGTCTGGAAAAAAAAAAGTACAAAAAGTTTAAAGGAAATGAACAGAACTCTCGAGACCTGTGGAATGACTGAGTCTAAGGAGAAGGGAGAGACAAAAAATAATTAAATAGGGAACAGAAGTAAATCAACAACTAATAGCGGAATACTTCCAAAAACTGTCCAAATACCTAAATATTTATATCCAAAAGGTCAATAAATACAAAACAAAATACAAATAAAACCACAGCAAGGCCATATCGTGGTTTATGAAACAGGCAAGGCAGGGCTTTTGCTTGACTTGCTGTGATATCTAATTGCTACTATTTATGGATACTATGGAAATAAATACTAAATAGAATGGGAGATAGGTTATTCTCAGAGTTTTTTTTTTTTTTTTTTTTGCAAAGATGACTGTTATTAAAGGTAGATGACTTTCCAGCATGTCGAAAGGGGCGTGGCAGGGGAGGGGCGAGGAGAAGGGTCGGGGCTGAGGGAGGGGCCCTGCAAAGGTCTGGGCGCGCCCAGCTCCCCGAAAGCAAGCGTTACAGCAACGCTGGGCAGGCTGTTGGAGGCTCCCGGGCTCTGTCTTGTCAGAGAGAAATCAAACTTCAGGCACAAATAGTCGTACAACTGGCACGTGGGGAGACTGTGCCACAATTACAAGTGAGACCACCTGCCCTGGCCACGCTGTCTCCTCGCACGCAGAAGTTTGGGAACAGATAGGCTCCCCTCAGCAGGGCGGAATTGCACTGGAAACATGGAGGGGCGGAGGAGAAGATGAAATTATCCCCTCAGTGTTGGAACTGTAGTCTCAGAGAAGATGAAATTTTCCCCGTAGTGTTGGAACTGTAGTCTCAGATCCACTCCCAGCCTTTCTGTCGCGGCAGTCGGACTATGATCCCAGCATGCGCTGGGCTTAAGGGAGGTTCCCAGCCCTGGAGGAAGGGTCAACAGGGTGGGTCCCTCGCAAGGCGTCCTGGGAGTCATAGTCCTTAAACAGTTTCCAGCACGTTGATCGCAAGGCTACCGAACTACAATGCCAGCATGCACCGGGATTGGGGCGGTGTGTAACGCTGGAGGGAAGGATAGAGAGGCGCGTCCCTGGCCAGGGATGCTGGGAGTTATGGTCTCTTAACGGTTTCCAGCGATGGCCCCCGGCCTGCAGACTACAATCCCAGCAGCCACCGGGCTTCGAGGCGGTGTGTAGCACTGAAGGGAAGGATAGGGAGGTGCGTCCTTAGCCAGGCGTGCTGGGAGTTATGGTCTCTTAACAGTTTCCAGTCAGTTGGTCCCAGGACTACCTGACTACAATCCCAGTATGCGTTGGGCTTGGGGGCGGTGCGCAGCCCTAGAGGAAGGATCGGGACGGCGGGTACCTCGCAAAGCATCCTGGGAGTCATAGTCCTTTCAGTATTTCCAGCCCATTGGTCGCGAGGCTAACGGACTACAATCTCAGCATGCGCTGGGTTTGGGGGCGGTGTGTAGTATGGAAGCGAAGGATAGGGAGGCGCGTCCCTAGCTAGGAGTGCTGGGAGTTATGGTGTCTTAACGGTTTCCAGCCCATTGGTCGCCGACCTGCTAACTACAAAACCAGCATGCGCTGTCTGTCCTACCCCGTGGTGCGCAGCCCTGGAGGGAGGGACAGGGCGGTGTGGACTCGTCCTTTCCTAAGCGATGCCACATGCTGATTCTGTGCCACCCCCTCGCCAAGGGAGTCCGCAGAAGGACTTGAGGGGCAGGTCTAGGCTGGGCGATGAGGACGGTGTGACCCTGCGAAGTGCACCTCCCTTGCTCAAATCGGAGGGGTCTGGTCCTCACTGAACAGCCCGCTGAACATCTCGGTGTCCTCTCACATACACACCCGCGGGGGGTTTCCAGAGCATCGCACCTCTTCCAGCCCAGGGAGCCGCCTGCTCTGCTAAACTCTATGGGAACTGAGACATCCACCTGCTGCGTGACCCACCCGTGCGCAACTTCAGAGCTTTCAGGGGGTGATGCGGGCTGTGGCTCCTTCGTGAAAATGTCACCGTCTGCAGCGCCTTTCTTGTGATATAGAACTTGACGGGTGAGAGCGGGTATTTCTTGGGTTACTCAGGATCTGCTAACAGCAGAGGAGAAAACCACAATTCCAGGCATAAGAATCTACCTAAAGACGATGGTTTAGATATTTTACAGTTGAAATCACCAGCCTCATCTCAACTGAGTCCTGACTGACGAGTGTCTCAAAAAAGCAGTTGGTGACCTCATCCCTCAGGAACAGGTGGTGCTCCAGCTTTGTGGGGATGACTTTCAAGGTGCAGAGCACTTGAGCCGCATTTGAAGTCATTCATGTTTTACATCTCTGCTTTGGATGGAAAGTTGATCCCCCACAGCCGTTGGGGATGTACCTTAATATACTGGGGCTTATGAGTTAAATTTTTCTGTCTAGACAATGAAAACCCAGAAGTTCCACTTGCAGGTAGCCTCTTAATAATCGACGTCCCTAAGTTCCTTATGTCCTCAGGATAGTTCCTTTTGTTCCCAGATGTTACCAACTTTGATGATGCATCTAATCTGTATAAACCTGTGTATTTCTCTATGTGAAAAGAATACTTTGTTCAAATTACATGTTCTTATAATTTTCACTTGTGATCGGTGAGTATGGGACACTATAAAAAAATCCTGAAAAACCTCATCATAGCAATTGAATCACGTTACTGTACTTTATGAGGAATTAACCCCTTCAGGATGAATTACTCATGGGTTCATCAGCACATTTGTGAAGAAAGGAAGAAAAACTGTATGGCCTTTATGAAATTGGAAAAATAAAGAACTATATATAGGAGGACCACAGCACAATACTAGGGCCCTTCTCTTATTTTAAATAGACTCTATGGGGTCGAATGCCTGCATTCCTAACCTATCCTGCAGTATTCTCATCCTACTCTTCACTGTGTATTTAGGTGTGGGTTTCTGAATTCACTTGTCCACAGCGTTAGTGGGGATGTTGTAACGTGAGGGTATCCATCATCTATCATCTTAATAATTAGTGAAGAGAAGAGCCTTGAGATCTGTCTTCAGATACACTGCTGCCGAGTATGTGCCTGCAAAGACACTGCCCACACCGGTGGTCTCAGAAAGTTGAACCTGATGCCACCACAAGCTGCTGTTCACAGATCTAGGTGCTCCTGGTGATTTGAGTCTCCTGCTTACATTTGTGGTTGTGAACCTGCTATGCTCACCCCATTTATGGTAGTATATTTTGTGTCACCTTTTCTATTCCATTTGTTTCCTGGGAACTCACTGTGTAGCTGCAATTCAGAGAATATGTAGGGATTCCACCCCCGACTACCTAAGTCACTGTACACTGGTCACATTTGTGTCATGTTTTCAGACTACACACTCTTCCTCTCTAATGGAATTTGTTGAAGAAATATAGTTGCCTGTAGATCTCCTCAGTGTAATGTGGCTGGGATTGATTGTGAAGCTGGGCATGTTGTCCTTGGCCTCATAGACATTATTCAAAATACCTTTCCCATATTTTGAAGTTTGATACTACTTTGTTAATGTGAACACTTGCCATAGCAGGCTCTATTAAATATCTCTGTGAATTTAACTGTCAAAACAACTTATGAAGTAGGCACATGATCCCCATTTTACAGGTGAGGAAACAAATGTTCCAAGATTTTGAGTAATTTTATTAACTTTACACAGCTTTCTGGTGCATTTTGAATCTTAAGTTGGATCTCTTTCTCCACAATATATGGGCTTACCTCCTTTTCTATTTTGTGCCTCTCTGCTAGCATCTGCAAGGGTACATTTTATTTTTAGTACATCTTCCACTTGATGGTAGGAAACTTGACAAACAGATCCTTAGTGGGAGAGGAAACTCACTGGCATTTGTCCTTCTCTCTGCTCCTTCTTACCCTGGCAGGCATGAGACTTATCAAGTGAGATGGAGCAGTGGTAGATCCTGACCAGTCCTCACCTGGAATATTTGTTATTATAAAAAAATAGTCCTCTCATTTTTTACAAGTGTAACTTCTTTGCCTTAAAGTTTTGTCTGGGCTTTCTCTTACAGGTTCCTGCGAATTAAGTTGCAAATATTGATGAAGATAATACTACTGCCTTGCTGTCAAACAGTAACAGTCACCTTTTTTTGTATCTCCAATTATAAATGCAATGCGTACTGTAAAAAGAAAAGAAAACATCATAAATATCTTTATAAAGTAAAAGTCTTGGCTGGTCGCCGGGAGCAGTGACTCATGCCTGTAATCTCAGCACTTTGTGAGGCCGAGGTGGGTGGATCATGAGGTCAGGAATTTGAGGCCAGCCTAGCTGACATGGTGGAACCCCATCTCTGCTAAAAAATACAAAAATTAGCTGGTCTCGGTGGCGGGTGCCTATAATCCCAGCTACCCACGAGGCTGAGGCAGGAGAATCACTTGAACCCAGGAGGCAAATGGTGCAGTGAGCCAAGATCGTGCCATTGCACTCTAGCCTGGGCAACAGAGTGAGACTCCATCTCAAAAACAAAACCAAACAAAAAACTTGGTTGGCCTAGTGGCTCAATCCCAGCACTTTGGGAGCCCAAGGCAGGTGAATTGTTTGAGCCCAGAAGCTCAAGACCAGTGTGAGCAACATGGTAAAACCCTCTCTCTACAAAAATACAAAAATTAACCAGTTGTGGTGATGTACACCTGTATTCCCAGCTACTAGGGAGGCTGAGGTGGGAGGATTGTTTGAGCCTGGGAGGCCAAGTTTGCAGTGAGCTGAAATCACACCACTGCGCTTCCATGTGGGCAACAAAGTGAGACCCTGACTCAAAAAATAAAAAACACATTAAACTGAAAGTCCCCTTTATTCCCTTCTCTTCAAACTCACTTTTTTTATTTGAAAAAACTGTTAAGAGGTTGTTTTTTATTCTTCTGGCTAAGTTGTATAAATTTCTTTTTTTTTCGAGACAGACTCTCGCTCTGTTGTCCAGGCTGGAGTGCAGCGGCGCGATCCCGGCTCACTGCAAGCTCTGCCTCCCGGTTTCACGCCATTCTCCTGCCTCAGCCTCCCGAGTAGCTGAGACTAGAGTTGCCCGCCACCACACCCGGCTAATTTTTTGTATTTTTAGTAGAGACAGGGTTTCACCGTGTTAGCCAGGATGGTCTTGGTCTCGATATCCGGCCCCCTGATCTGCCCACTTCGTCTTCTCAGAGTGCTGGGATTAGAGGCGTGAGCCACCGCCCCCGGCCTGTTCTATAAATTTCTAAGTGATACACACATAAAGTTTATTTTAAAAATTACATCACACTACATTAAAATTTACTCTTTCTCCAGGTGTATTCCATCTATCTATCTATCTATCTATCATCTATCATCTATCTATCTATGACAAGGCCTTGCTCTGTCACACAGACTGGAGTTCAGTAGCTCAATTATGGCTCACTGCAGACTCAAACTCTCAGGCTCAAATGATTTTCTAACTTCAGCTTCTGAAGTAGCTGGGAGTACAGGTGCATGCCACTACTCCTGGTTAATTTTTAGTTTTTGTTTGTTTTTTTCTTTAAACAGGGTCTCACTGTGTCACCTGGGCTGGAATGCAATGCATAATCACAGCTCACTCTAGCCTTGACCACTCAGGCTCAGGCAATTCTCCTGCCTCAGCCTCCTGAGCAGATGGGACCACAAATGTGTATTAACACACTTGGCTGTTTATTATTATTTGCAGAGACAGGGTCTCCCTATCCTGCCCAGGCATGTTGTGAACTCTTGTGCTTAAGCAATCTGCTACCTCGGCCTCCCAAATTGCTGGAATTACAGGTGTGAGCCACCACAACTTACCCAGCCTTTTTACTTTGTGTAAGAATAGCATCAGTGTATTAAAAATACAACGGAAATTATTTATGGTGTCTTTTCAATTCTTATGCATTAAAATTCTCTTATTAGGGCCTTTTATTAATGGTTACAGTGTATTTTCTGTGAAATTTTACTGTCACACACTGCATGCCAATGATTCAAGATACCCGAACTTCATGAATGCACAGTCACAGTAGAATATTTTAGTTATCTAAAAAGTATTTTCATAAATGATATATCAAGTTTATATGCAAGGTAGCCTGGTCTGGTAGCAGGTGCTTGTAATCTCAGTGAAGGCTGAGGCAGGAGAATGGTTTGAACTCAGGAGGCGGAGGTTGAAATGAGCCGTCGTCTCGCCACTGCACTTCAGCTTGGGTGACAGAGTGAGACTCTGTCTCAAAAAAAGAAAAAAACTTTGCTTGCAAGATTTTATGAGTAAATATGTTTCTTATTTTTCTTTACAATTCCATATTACTGTCTCGATTATTTATAATAGGTTCCAGGGCAGCAGTTGATTTTATTTTGGGTTTTACTTATGTATTATAACTTTGGATGTTATAATTTCCAACTCTGCCTGTACACTTCAAGTCAATGTGGATTTTTAAAAAAATGTTAATAGTACAAACTATTCATAGATTCAACTTCGTAATGTTAAAAGCAACGGCAGCTCCTGGTTTAAAAAGGGAACGGTGGAAGCAGCCGGCCATTTTATTTAAAATCGCGTTAGATTTTTCAGAAGGATGATAGTTAAGATCATTAAATCCCATTACTGCTTCTAAGATTTCCACAAAATAGCACATTAAATCCTCAGTCCTAAACAATCACGACAGAGATTCAAAATTGCCTCTCAATGTCAAGGTAAACAGCGCACTATCTTCTCTTGCAATAAAGGTACATCATTTGATATACAAGGGAGCATAGCAGTCAGACACTTACAAGATCGTGCTGTAGAAATAACTTCCATGTTTTCATCCGCCATGTGTATCCTCACCTCTGTCTCCCATGCAGTAACACTATCAGTTTCCTCATCTGTCCTTTCTACTTTCTTTTAAAGAGGAGGCTGATTGCAGACAATACATGACAGAGGCATTTCAAATCAGAAAGGAGTTTCTTGAGATATACGTGATTTTAGTTTTAAGTAGAATGTCCTGAAGAGTTTTAGTTACAATACCACCTTCAAGAGGATGGTGGTGAAATTCATAGTAAACATTTGGCAAAATATAGGTTATGAGGCAGCCATCTCCTAGAAACACTTCATCGGGGTTTATATATGAAATGTGAAATATCGTAGGTTTAATCCTGGCACAGAACCAAAACTGAGTGCATTGCACTTGAACAGCTGACCAATCCCCAGCACAGGTCCATATGAAGAAACGGAGAAGAAAGAATCCTTTTAACCACAGAAAGGTCTTCATTTGCCCAAACTGAAAACCAAATTTCACTCAGGAAACTAATGTTGGGTTTAATTAAAATATAAATCGGTCATACGTTTTCAAAATTAAATTATATATGTGTTTGTCTCTATAAATATGTCCCCAACTTTGCTCATGGCTTATCTTCCATATTTTTTGGCTGATTTTCAGTGGTTGTCTTATCTTGTGTGGATGAATAGTCATTGAAATAATCTTAATTTCACAATGTGTTTAATTATAAATCTATACTTCCTTTGTGTGAGAGAAAATCTTTTGTGAACAAAATTTAATTTTTGGAAAGCTTTATAAGTCCATATTTTTCCTTTTAAAAATTGCGATTGTGGTAAAAACACATAATGTAAAATTTACCATTTTAATTCTTTTTAAGTGTATATTTCATTAGCGTTAAGTACATTCACATAGTTATGCAAAAGATCTGTAGAACTTCTATGTCTTGCAAAACTAACATTAAATGTCTTTTAAGACAATTGCCCATTTTACCATCTCTTCAGTCCTTGACAAACACCATTCTAACTTTTTTTTTCTATGAGTTTGTCTACTTAAGATACCTGATTATGAATGGAATCATAGACTGTCACTTTGTTCCTGGCTTATTTCAGTTAACGTGATATTCTCAAGAATAATCATATAATGTGACTTTTTAAAGACTGAATAATATTCGACTTTGTGTATGTGCCACTTGTTGTTAATCTCTTCATTGGTCAAGGGACAGCTGGGTTGTTTCTGCCTTTTGGCTTGTGTTAGTAATGCTGCAATAAATTTGGGTGTGCAAATATCTCTTCCGGATCATGTGTTGTATATTTTAAATACATAGCCAGAATGGGGTTTGCTGGATTGTATAATAATCTCATTTTAAATTTTTTGAAGAGCTTTCATACTATTTTAAAAATAGGTTTGATGTGATAGATTATTGTGACTTTTCTTTGTATTTTTCTAGAAGAGAGTTGTCGAGTATCCTTTTAAATGCCTAGTCATTTCTATGTCTTCTTTGGAGAAAGTCATTTCAAACATGTGCCATTCTAAATCAAGTTATTAACTTTTTTTGTTGTTGAGTTTTAGGAATTTATATATTTTGAAAATTAACACCTACCAAATATGTGATTAGAAAATATTTTTACTCTTTTTAGTTATATGTATGTATGTATGCATATATATAACCCTATACAAGACAGGGTCTTGCTATGTTTTCATGGCTAGTCTCAAACTTTTGGTCTCAAGTGATTGTTCTGCCTTGGCCTCCTAAAGTTGTAGAATTAAAGGCATGAGACACCATGCCTAGCTTTCACCCACTTATTAGGTGACGTTTGTATGGCACTAAATGTTTTATTTGATGTGTAGAATAGTTGAAGCTTAATGTAGTCCCTTTTCTTGGTCGTTGTTCTTTTCCTTGTTGCTTATGAATTTGATGTCAAACTTAAGGAAAGAGTTTTAAGACTTATGTCATAAACTTTTCCCTTATGTTTACTTCTAAGAATTTTATTAGGTTTTATGTTTAAGTATTGAATTCATTTTAAAAACTTTTCTTTTTATATATGATACAAAGGAAGCATCCAACTTTATTTTTTTCTCTGTAAATATTCAATTTGGAAAACTCTTTGTTAAATGGATTCTTATTTTTCTATTGTGTGGTCATGGAAAGCTTACGGAAGATTATTTTATCACATATGCAAGGGTTTATTTCTGGGATCTCTATTCTGTTTCGTCATCTATGTATCTGTTTTTGTGGCAATACCACATTGTTTTTATTTTTGTAGCTTTGTATCATGATTTTGAATCAGAAAATGTAATACCTCTTTGTTCTTTTTAAAGGGTGTTTGGCTAGTCACCTGTCCTAAGCAACGTTTAGAATTATACACAAAAATTCTGCAAAAAAAATACCATTGGGATTTTGACAAAAATTACCTTACATTTTTATATCATCATGAGTAGTACTGACAACATTTTTTTTTTTTTTTTTTTGGAGATGGAGTTTTAGTGAGTCACTCAGGCTGAAGGGCAGGGGTGCGAGATGTGCTCACTGCAGGCTCCGCTTCCCAGGTTCAAGCAATTCTCCAGTCTCAGCCACCAGAGTAGCTGGGATTGCAGTCGTGCACCATCACGTCTAGCTAACTTTTGTATTTTTAGTAGAGATAGGGTTTTGCCATATTCACTAGGCTAGTCTCAAACTTCTGATCTCAAGTGATCCACCCACTTTGGCCTCCCAAAGTCCTAGGATTACAGGCATGAGCCTCATGCCGGCCCTGACATCTTAACAATATTAAATCACCTGACACTTGAGCAAGACTATATGAAAGATTTTGCTTAATTTCCTCTTATTTACATATTTGCCACATTTTCTTGCTTTTGAATTCTAGTTTCATTTACATTGTATGGCTTCAGTTTTCTTAAATTTAATAAGACATGTATCCTAACAGAATGTACCATGTGTGATTTAGAATATTGCAGATTTTGCTCCTTTAAATTGGAGAGTTCTGTAAATGCTGGTTGGGTCTATAATGTTCAGGTTTGGCTTTCTTACTGATATTACTTCTGACTATTCTAGTCATTACTGAAAGTGGAGTCTTGAAGTCCACCATTGTTGTGTTGCTATGTATTTCTTGCTTGACTTCTGTCAATATTTGTTTTACATATTTGAAAGACGAGAATCAGTTGAACCTGGGAGGAGGAGGTTGAAGTGAGCCTATCGAGAGATCATGCCACTGCCCTCCAGCCAGAGAGAAAGAAACTCTGTCTCTAAAAAAAAAAAAAGAAAGAAAGATGTCAGTGCTATTTATAGTAATACAAAAATTTAATGTAATTTTTGTCAAAATCTCAGTGGTATATTTTTGCAGATTTTTCAAATTATATATATATGATTTATAAATTATTGTTATAGATTCCTGGAAAGTTAATCCATCTCACCATTACATAATACCAATCTCTCTCGGCCGGGCGCAGTGGCTGACGCCTGTAGTCTCAGCAATTTGGGAGGCCGAGGCGGGTGAATCATGAGGTCCAGAGATCGAGACCATCCTGGCCAACAAGGTGAAACCCCATCTCTACTAAAAAGTACAAAAATTAGCTGGGTGAGGTGGCGGCGTGTGCCTGTAGTCCCAGCTACTCGGGAAGCTGAAGCAGGAGAATCGATTGAACCAGGGAGGTTGTGGTTGCAGTGAGCCGAGATCGTGCCACTGCACTCCAGCCTGGTGACAGAATGAGACTCTGTCTCCAAAAACAAAAACAAAAACACAATACCAATCTGTCTCTTGTTCATATTTTTGATTTAAAATATATTTTGTTTAGTATAATTATGACCATGGCCCTCCAATTTTAGCTACTCTTTGAATAAAATATATTTTCTTTATACTGTTACTTTCAACTTATTTGAGTCCTTAGAGCTGAAGTGACTCTTGTAGAGAGCAAATTGCTGGATCTTCTTTGTTCTTAATCCATTAAATTATTTATTAATTTTCTTTAAGGTATTTAACTTTTTATATTTGAAGTAATTACTGCATTTAATGAAGTTACTTTATTATTTGTAATTGTCTTCTGTGTTTCTTGTAGATGTGTTATTTATCATTTTTTCTCTTACTGCTTTATTTCTGTTTGTTGATTTTGTAGTGACGTGATTGAATTTCTTTCTCATTTGCCTTTGCATACATTCTACAGGTTTTTTTTGGTAATCATCCTGAGAAATAAAGACTTCATAAATCATCTTAAAGTTATGACAGTATAGAACAACTATATTTCAACTGAATGCAAAGTTGTACCTCTTGACACCCCCACTGTTTTATTAATATCGCATATTATCTTTCCTTATGGTCTATGATCACAAATTTATGCAGATTTCTGCCTCATGTTTTAAACTCCATGGCAATATTTTGAAAGTTTTGTGCACCATGATTATGACAGTAGAGATTTCTTTACCTGTTTATATATTTACCTTTAATAGAGAGCTTTCTATTTTCATGTGCTGTTATGATGCTCTGCAGCATCATTTCTTTTTTGGACGTGATAGACTCTTTTACACTTCCTTTAGGACTGTTCTAGTGGTTAGTAACACAATCAACTTTTATTTATTTGGAAAGGTTTAGTTTTTTTATTTCTGAAGTGATATTACTCCAGTTGAAGGTTTTTGTTTGGAAGTATTTCTTCTTGTTTAATTATCTTGCCATGTGGGGATTTCTCAGCTACTTTTTAAAAATAACCTCTTTATTACTTTTCTCCTATATTGTTTTTGTAAGACTCCTTTCATAAATATAATGGTCCACTTGACCATGTGCAGTACTTCCCATACTTTTTCCTCCATTCTGCTTAAAAAATTTGTTTTCATCACTCAATATTTATAACTACAATGTCATCAATTGTGTAATTTTTTCTCCTTTATTAGTCTGCTTTTGTGACTGTTGATTAAATTTTTAATATAGCTATTATGTTCTTCAGATTCACAATTGTTGGTTTTTAAAAATCTTTTTATTGATATCTCATTTTCTTTATGTATCACTTCTTCTAATATTCTTTTGTTGTCTATGTTCTGTTTTTGTTCATTAAGCAGTTTTTTCTAATCACATTTTATTGAAAACTGCACTGAATGCTAAATGTCCATCTTTACAATAAACAACTACAGTAACGGTAATTCGCACTACACTAAAACAAAACGTACTTCTGATAGCCATTATTTTTCTGTTTGGGACAGTCTTAAAAATTTCTCTTTTCTTACAAAAACGGGAATGTACCTAATCAAAGGATCAAAACAGGCCATCTTTTTAAACAAAAAGACTATATTCACAAAAGACTATAAATAGAACATGTAACTAATTGATGCAAATCTAATATAATTTGTTAAAATCAGTCACATCCAATACAGCTGAAGTGTTCTTGTATAAAACACAACGTGAAGAAAAGAAGACTTTATCAATGTCTTAAAAAGTGGGTTTGTTCATAGACAATCTGACAAGTTACCATTAAAAGTGTTTCCTGTGACATAAGAAAATGCAACACTATTTTTCTTGAACCCTTTTAGTGCAAGACTTCCCACTAAATAAAATAGCAGAGGATCTGAAACTGAGAAAATATACTTGATTACAAACAGCGTGTGAAACTTAATACTTTTTTTTTTTTTTGCATTATCAGAGGCTTTTACTGAACTTACAACCAACTTGCCCGCTCAGTATGCAGTTCAGATGTGAGAGACGCTTCTCTGTACAGGAGCCGGTACTGTCTTCAATCTTATGTGTGAGGATGTCTACCATAGGCAAACAGTTTACTCCATATTTTCTAGTAATGTGATCTTCCTATTAACAAAATGCTGTAACCAGTCCCTGTAGACTGAAGGGACTCAAGTCACAAGATGGGGATTTCCTCCTCATGGTTTTTATTTTGATGTTTGAAGTCTTGATGCAACATTCTGAGCAGGGTGTTCCAGACCTGCTGTGCCCAAGGGACTGATAAAGGAAAAAATTGTATTCATTCTTTGTGATTTGATGCACAGATGAAAAACTAAACACATAATAACGGAAGTTGGTGGTTAATAAATCACATCCTAGTCTTTCAGAGCTTCCGTAAGCAGACGACATCTGCAGTTTTCTAGGTCTTGCAGTTTTAACAGTGCAAAACCAATGAGCATATGTCCAGAATCAGCTAAAAAGAGCGTCAGATTCTTTTTCTCTTAGTTTGTCTATTTTTCACTGTCTCTTCTTCAAAAGTGTATCTGAATGATTACCTTCCGGCATTCTCTGTTATTACTCGTTGGGGTGCTCTCGATTGTCCCCGTGTTTGAGGGCTGGTTGGGAGAGGGTGCTTGGGAAGGATGTGCCACTGTGGGGAGTTTGTGAGTCACCGGGATGCCTCCAGGGAATGTCCCTTCCATGGATGCAGGAAGTCCTCCTGGACCCACGCCCAAGATGCCTGGATGAATTTCTTGCTGGTCTATTTCCCACCAAAGCACAGATGTGACAAAGAATTCCTCGTTCACACAGTTTCTTAAGCTTCCTGGGATGCGACCTGTGATGGCTCGGCGGAGCTCGGTGGCAGCTGTCTCCCTCATCTCCAGTGACACCTGCTGGCTGTAGCAGGCAGTGAGAGGAGTGCAGATGAGATTGGGGGCATCTTTCAACGGACCCTGAGCAAAGCTAAAGGGCTGCGACTCGTTCACGTCGACGACTGCCCTTCGTATCCTGCCTTCCTTGAGGGCCTGTGCTAAGGCTCTCTCGTCCACCAGGCCACCACGGGCTGCGTTCACAAGGAATGCTCCCTGCCTCATCTGCTTTATGGTAAAGTCATTGATGAGGTGGTGCTTAAGTTCGTTGAGACTGCAGTGCAAGGAGATGCAGTCGCTCTGATACAGCCAATCCTGCAGGGTGTAGACCCTCTGCATGCCCAGGGACTGCTCGATCCCATCCTGCAAGTAGGGGTAATAAAACATGACGCTGAATCCAAAGGCTGTGGCTGGAACTGCAAAAGCCTGCTGCGTGCGACCCTAGCCGATGAGGCCCAGCGTCTTCCCACGAATGCGGGCCACTCCCGAGGCCACCTCGCAGATCTGCTCCATGCTCTGAACCCGCTTGCCTTCCCACAGTGCCTGGTACAGCCATGTGTTCCTCCGGTACATGTTGAGAATGTGGCAGTTGGTGGAATTGGCTGTCTCTTCCACGGCTGCGGACGGGATGTTTCACACAGCAATTCCGAGCTCGCTGGCAGCCTTGATGTCCACGTTGTCATAGCCACTGCCCACCCCCACGATCACTCTCAAGGACTTGAAATTTGCCAGAACCTCCCTGGTGAGGTGATTGTGTGGTGCATCATGGGGCCCACGGCTCTGTTTAGAACTTTCTCGTGGATTTCCTGCGTGGACTGCATCATAGAAGGCCACGGTGGCCTTCAGGATGGGCATGTCCACAGTGCAGTCACGGCCGACCAGGAACGCTGCCAGTGAGCGGGGGCTTAGGGGGTCTTTCGTGATCTGGCGGCGAATTCCTTCACAAATTCTGTCCAATCGCTGTCTCTTGACTTAGCGCTTATCCACAGGGCCATTCTTTACGGAACTTTGCAACTCTCAGATCAAAAGGTAAAGCAGTCCTCTAAGAACTTAGGGGAACTCGCAGGAGTCTGTGTGCATGATGCCACTATGAACCCAATATAAATTTGTTCACAAACTCTATAGTTCACACGATGGGCTGTCCGTCTCTTTAAGGGAATATAGCTTCATTGGTTCAAAACCATTTAAGGTGATGAAACCCATTTGGTTGCAACTCAGCCACCATCGCGCAGTCAATCAACGAATCTCACCACGACCCCAGGTCTGGAGCTCCTGGAGTCCGCGACCGCTGGGGGTGGAGGCGGCTTCGGCCTGGTGCAGCCAGGTCCTTGCTCCTGCTCTGAGCCTCGGGCGTGGGTTGGGGGTCCACCCGGGTGTCCCGCATGGTGTCTAAGCTCCTCCCTTGCCGGAGCCCTGCGGACTGGAGGAGTGTTCATATCATTAAGGAGCTTTGATAATTATTTTGATTTTCAAAATTATATAATGCAAAAACAACAACAACAAAGAATAAACCTACAAATTTTGACCTTTAAAAGTCAACAAAGATTTTTAAAGATCAATATTTGTAGGTTTATTTTATTTCTTCAATTGGGACATGTTTTCGTCCTTTTCTGTATGCCCTGCAATCTTTTGATGAGATTCAGAAATTTATAAAACAACTGTGTAATGTAGTATGTACAAACTTGCTTACTACAAGATAATACAACAATCAGTGAGGCTGTACATCCTGGTTCTTCATTAACAGTGTCTTCAATGTGTCTTCTCTGGGCTTGTGTGTGGATTTTTAAGGTAAAGATATTTTTTCCCATTGTTTTCCAGACACTGTGGTCCTTTGCTTCCGCAGTTGATTGTAGTGTTTGTTTCTCTGAGGCTGTGGTAAGCATGTAACTTCTCTTCTCAGCAGTCATAAGTTATCATTCTCATTACTCTGCCATTTCCTTTAGCATTCCCTGTTTGGGGAGACAGAATCTAGTCATCAGCGGTAGCCCACAAAGCCAAACCTTTGAACATATGTTCCACTGTTCTCATTCTATACTGAGGGATATACTAAAAGTTGGACGTTTTCTCTTGAGCCCAATTGCTGTTCTGGGAAAGAAGAAGGGATGTGGTGAATATAAGCCAGACCTGGTTGCCTCGTACAGCAAGCTTTTCCAACCCGCCTTGTTTTGTTTTTGTTATGGCTCTGTTTTGTTTTAGGTTTTTAGCAGCCTGCAGCAATGGTTTTTGGGTTCTGTGTCTAGTGATAAGTGGAAAAGGGGGATGAGGAAAGGGCCTTACTGGCTCAACCAGAAACAGAAACTAAGAACTCATGGCTGTAGTCTCCCGTGGATGCCCCTGTCCTACAGTAAAGGAAATGTCTTTGGAATGTAAAAAGAGAGAGAATAATAGGCAACACCCCAATAGGGAAGAATAAACAAATAACAAAGATGAGAGGTGCAAAGGCCAAGGAGAAAACCTTAAAAATGTGGTGTTGGAAGTTCTGCTTCAAAGAAATTGGTTCTGGAAAATTCTAAATTTACTTCTTTTGCTGCCACAGGTGGAAATTTCCTACCCTATGCTTATTATGCTCTTAAATCTTCTAAGGCTTCTCTGTTCATCCACTAACATTCCAGGGCATTCACAGTGACAGCCAAAGTTCACCTCTTCTTTCTGCTATTCCCATGAAGCTCTTGTGGTCTGAGTGCTTTTCCATTGTTTTTGGGATCTGAGGAAATCTGCACATTTTGTGAGACTTCTATGTTAAGCTGTTTTGTAAAAATCTGTGCCTCATGTCAGAAGTTTGTGAGAGCAAAAGTGCAGGCATTGGGGTTTGGTTCACATATTTCAGAAACACCAAGGACAAATGTTTCCTCCTCATAATTTTCAGTCCTATTATTTCAAATGTGTTCCTGCAAAAAAATCAGAAAAAAAATTTATCAGAGCCCAAAGCACCTCAGCAGATATGATAAAGTTGAATCTTCTATTTCACTTTATTCTTTTTTTCATCTCTGGTAATGTAGGTCAAAAAGTTTTCTTTCCCTTAGTAGAAACTAACTTAGAAATGTGAACTCTCTATGCCAAACATATCACCTATGGAATAGTTTATTGTATCTACTCATCTCAAAGAATTTTTAAGGACCTTAATCCATAGAAAAACTTAGAAACATGCCAGGAATAGAACAAATTCTTAACTGTTACATTATTTCTTAATGAGTTATTTTATTAATTAATCTTATATAAAGCTTAGTGGGACTGTGATCTGTATGTTTTCCCTGTCCTGTTTTTACGTATGTCAAATTAGCCTATAACTTTAGCTTCAGGGGTTTCAGAAAACATACTTGAATTTATGTGTTATATAAAAAGTGAATTGGATGATATGCACATCACATTAAGAAAAGTTTTAGTTTGTGTCTAAGTTCACTGCATAGAAAAACTTATCATTAGTGTTTCCATTTACTTTCCTCAACATTTATCTGAATGATAGTATAATTTATTTCTAATTGCTTATTATATTGTAGTTTTCCACAGCATATTTTACAATATTCATGTTGTTCCCATATGTAAAAATGTAAGGCTTTTCTTTGTTTTAAAAATAATAAATTATAGGCCAGTGCTGTGTTTCATGCTTGTAATCACAGCACATTAAAAGGTCGAGATAGGTGGATCATGAGGTCAGGAGTTCAAGACCAGCCTGGCCAACATGGTGAAATCCTGTCTCTACTAAAACTACAAAAAATATCGCCGGCGAGGAGCGGTGACTCAAGCCTGTAATCCCAGTACTTTGGGAGGCCGAGACGGGTGGATCACGAGGTCAGAAGATCAAGACCTTCCTGGCTAACACGGTGAAACCCCGTGTATACTAAAAATACACAAAAATTAGCCGGGCGTGATGGTGGGCGCCTGTAGTCCCAGCTACTCAGGAGGCTGAGGCAGGAGAATGGCGTGAACCAGGGAGGTGGAGGTTGCAGTGAGCCGAGGTCTCGCCACTACACTCCAGCTTGGGTGACAAAGCGAGACTCCATCTCAAAAAATTAAAAAAAATAAATAAATTATAGCCTTTCCATTTGTATAAAAAGAGGAGTAATATATTAAGAACATAATAAAAAGTGTCTCTAATATCATTGAAATCTTTATTAAAATTTTCTTCTAAATGCTCTTTATGGGAGATTATAATGTATTTGTTGTGCAATTTTGTTACTCTAACCATATGCTAAGAATTCAAAATCTGCTCTTTATGGGAGCCCAGTTATGGTTGAACATGCTAGTTATCTGGAAAGAGTCTTCTTCCGTTGCATGCTTTGTTTATTCGGTATTTCACAGGCTAATGTTTATTTAATTTTATTTTCTAATATTATATATTCTTGTATTTCCTTGTTAGGATAGGCTGCCTTACATTATTTAATTGTGTTTTTAGATTCTGCCTATATATTATAATTTTGTATGACTATATTCAACTGTGTACAGTTGAATATGAATCAGTCAAATATGAATCAACCACACGTCTATTGCCAACATAATTCTCTGTTCATTTGCTTGTATAAACATTACTCATACTTTATTTATGACTTGTGTATTTGTTTAATTAGTTGGTGGTCAATTATTTTTTTAATCCTCTCTGGGTGAGTAGTTGTGGAAATTGTCTTAATTTCCACTTCTATATATTAATGAATCTATATTACTTTTGTGTTGAAGGAAACACTTCTGTGATTTGAAGTTAATTTTTTTTTACCTCTGAACTTTTTACTGGCCTCCTGCTCCCCAAAGGGACCTTGCTTCTGATGGCTTAGCACAACAAAAAGTCTGTATTGTTGGTCTCAGACACCACTTTCCCGTCCACTATCCTGCGGGGGCTGTTCTTTTGGATAGCTTGCAGGTATTTACTGCTGTCCAGAGCATCCAGGAGATTGAAATCCTCCCCGTCTTCTAGCAGGCGGCAGTAAGTGGCAATCTCAGCCTCCAGCTCGACCTTGATGTTCCACAGGTCCTCGTGCTCTTGGGCGTGGTACCTCTCTTCCCGGTTTTGGGATAGCTCTGACTCCAGGTGCAGCAGGATCCTGTTGAGCTGCTCCATCTGCGTCTACCTCCCTTAGGCTGTTCTCCAAGCTGACTTTCAGATATCTCATTGAGTCCAGTTCGATATCCAAGGACTGGACTGTACATCTCAACCCCCTGAGCATCCTCTCAGCAGCTCCGATCTCAGCGGACTGCATGGTGACTACTCTGGTGCTCTCCTCAGTCTGCTGGGACCAGTACTTGTCCAGCTCCTCTCAGCTGTTCTCAGCCATCTCGTCATATTGGGCCCAGATGCCTGTCATGATCTTGCCAAGGTCCTGAGACTTGGGGACATCTACCTCCATGGTCAACCAAGAGCTGGAAATCAGGTATTATAGACCTTTAACTTCCTCCTCATGATTCTTCATGAAGAGCAGCTCTTCCTTGAGGGCCTCCATCTCTGTCTCCAGCAGAGGCTGACTGACACTGGTGTTATCAGTAATGTCGCACTCCACAAACTGGCACATGGCCAGGTCTGTCTCACACTTTAAAGTCATCAGCAGCAAAATGATCATTGTCAGTCTGCAGGATGATGCAGGCACTGTCTGCAGCAGTGGCAAAGATTTTTTTATTAGTCTAATTGTCTGTCTTTATGCTAGTAACATAAGATTTTGATTACTGTAGATTTCTAACATGTCTTGAAATCAGGAATTGTAATGCTTCCAACTTTTTTTATGTGGTCCCCTGAAATTCCGTATACTTTGGGGAGTCACATTCTCTGTTTCTGTCAAAAATAATATTAAGAATTTCATAGGGATTGTATTAAATCTGCAGCTCACTTTGGGCATTATAGACACGTTCAAAATATTAAATTTTTAACTCTTGAACAAAAACATGTTGAAGAATAAATTGTTTAATTATCATGTATTTGTGAATTTTATGAATTTTCTTCGGTTATTGATTTCTAGTTTTAATCCATTTTGGTCAGAAATTATAGTCTGTAGCCTTCAGTTTTTATTATACTTTAAGTTCTAGGATACATGTGCAGAACGTACAGGTTTGTTATACAGGTATACATGTGTTATGTTGGTTTGCTGCACCCATCAACTCAACATTTACATTAAGTGTTCTCCTAATGCTATCCCTTTCATAGCCCCCCACCCCCAAACAGGCACTAGCGTTTGATGTTCCCTGTCCTGTGTCCACATGTTCTCATTGTTTAACTCCTACCTATGAGTGAAAACATGCAGTGTTTGTTTTTCTGTCCTTGTGATAGTTTGCTGAGAATGATGGTTTCCAGCTTCATCCATGTCCCTGCAAATGACATGAACTCATCCTTTTTTAAGGCTGCGTAGTATTCCATGGGGTATATGTGTCACAATTTCTTAATCCAGTCTATCATTGATGGACATTTGGGTTGGTTCCAAGACTTTGCTATTCTGAACAGTGCCACAATAAACATACGTGTGCATGTGTTTTTATAGTAGCATGATTCATAATCCTTTGGATATATACCCAGTAATGGGATTGCTGGGTCAAATGGTATTTCTGGTTGTAGATACTTGAGGAATTACCACACTGTCTTCCACAGTGTTTGAACTAATTTACACTCCAACCCACAGTGTAAAAGCGTTTTTGTTTTTCCACGTCCTCTCCAGCATCTGTTGTTTCCTGACATTTTAATGATCCCCATTCTAACTAGCGTAAGATGGTATCTCATTGTGGTTTTCATTTGCATTTCTCTGATGACCAGTGATGATGAGCAATTTTTCATGTCTGTTGGTTACATAAATGTCTTCTTTTGAGAAGTGTCTGTTCATATCCTTTGCCCACTTTTTGATGGGATTGCTCGTTTTTTTCTTGTAAATTTGTTTAAATTCTTTGTAGATTCTGGATGTGAGTCCTTTGTCAGATGGGTAGATTGCAAAAATTTTCTCCCATTCTGTAGGTTGCCTGTTCACTCTAATGATAGTTTCGTTTGCTGTGTAGAAGCTTTTAAGTTTAATTAGATTTCATTTGTCTATTTTGGCTTTTGTTGCCATTGTTTTTGGTGTTTTAGTCATGAAGTCTTTGCCCATGCCTATGTCCTGAATGGTATTGCCCAGGTTTTCTCTTAGGTTTTTATGGTTTTGGGTCTTACATTTAAGTCTTTAATCCATCTTGAGTCAATTTATGTATAGGGTGTAAGGAAGAAATCCAGTTTCAGTTTTCTGCATATGGCTCGCCATTTTTCCCAGCAACATTTATTAAATAAGAAATCCTTTCCCCATTGTTTGTTTTTGTCACATTTGTCGAAGATCCAATGGTTGTAGATGTGTGATGGTATTTCTGAGGCCTCTGTTTTTTTCCATTGCTCTATATATCTGTTTTGGTACCAGTACCATGCTGTTTTTGTTACTGTAGACCTGTAGTATAGATTGAAGTCAGGTAGTGTGATACCTGCAGCTTTTCTCTTTTTGTGTAGGATTTTCTTGCCTATGCAGGCTGTTTTTTGGTTCCATGTGAACTTCAAAGTAGTTTTTTCCAATTCTGTGAAGAAAGTCAGTGGTAGCTTGATGGGGATAGCATTGAATCTGTAAGTTATCTTGGGCAGCATGGTCATTTTCATGATATTGATTCTTCCTTTCCAGGAGCATGGAATGTTCTTCCATTTGTTTGTGTCCGCTTTTATTTCATGGAGCAGTGGTTTGTAGTTCTCCTTGAAAATGTCCTTCACATCCCTTGTAAGTTGGATTCCTAGGTATTTTATTCTCTTTGTAGCAATTGTTGAGTGGGAGTTCACTCATAATTTGGCTCTCTGTTCATCTGTTATTGGTGTATGGAAATACTTGTGATTTTTGCACATTATTTTGTATCCTGAGACTTTGCTGAAGTTGCTTATCAGATTTAAGGAGATTTTGGGCTGAGACAATGGGGTTTTCTAAATATACAATCATGTCATCTGCAAACAGAGACAATTTGGCTTCCTCTTTTTCCTAATCGAATGTCCTTTATTTCTTTCTCTTGCCTGATGGCCCTGGCCAGAACTTCCAATACTATGTTGAGTGGGAGTGGTGAGAGAGGGCATCGTTGTCTTGTGCTGGTTTTCAAAGGGAATGCTTCCAGGTTTTGCCCATTCTGCATGATATTGGCTGTGGGTTTGTCATAAATAGCTCTTATTATTTTCAGATGTGTTCCATCAATACCTAGTTTATTTAGAGTTTTTATCATGAAAGGCTGTTGAGTTTTGTTGAAGGCCTTTTCTGCATCTATTGAGATAGTCATGAGATTTTTGTCATTGGTTCTGTTTATGTGATGAATTATGTTTATTGATTTGCATATGTTGAACCAGGCTTGCATCCCAGGGATGAAGCTGAATTGATCGTGGTGGGTAAGCTTTTGGATGTGCTGCTGGATTTGGTTTGTCAGCATTTTATTGAGGATGTTTGCATTGATGTTCATCAGGGATATTGTTTTTTTGTTGTGCTTCTGCCAGGCTTTGGTATCAGGATGATGCTGACCTCATAAAATGAGTTAAGGAAGATTCCCTCTTTTTCTCTTGATTCGAATAGTTTCAGAAGGGATGGTAGCAGCTCCTCTTTGTACCTCTGGTAGAATTCCGTTGTGAATTCGTCTGGTCATGGACTTTTTTTGGTTCATAAGCTATTAATTATTGCCTCAATTTCAGAACCTGCTATTGGTCTACTCAGAGATTCAACTTCTTCCTCGTTTAGTCTTGGAGGTGTGGATGTTTCCAGGAATTTATCAATTTCTTCTAGGTTTTCCACTTTATTTCCGTAGAGGTGTTTATAGTATTCTCTGATGGTAGTTTGTATTTCTGTGGGTTTCGTGGTGATATCCCCTTTGTCGTTTTTTATTGCGTCTCTTTGATTCTTCTCTCTTTTCTCCTTTATTTGTCTTACTAGTGGTCTATCTATTTTGTTAATCTTTTCAAAAAACCGGCTCCTGGGTTGATTGATTTTTTGAAGTGTTTTCTGTAACATTCAATTTTTTTTAATTCTGTTAAAAAATTTTTTTCCTTATATTTATTTTTAGGACAATGTTTTATGAGCTTTTGACAAGACTGTGAGTTTTGTTGTTGTGTAGAGTGATCTCTATGCATCTGTTACATCTAACTGTTTTACAGTATTTTCATGTCCTCTGTTTTCTTCTTAACATTCTCTCTGGCTTTATTATTAATTACAGAACTGGTGTATTAAAATATTGTTCTCAGTATATTGCAGTTTTTTGTTTATGTTCTGACAAAATATTATTGATTTATTTTAAAATCTTCATGTGAGGTTCATATATATGTGTGTCTGTATACATAATTAGATAAATACACACAATTATATAAATGTATATTATATAAATGTATATAATTTTCCTAGGTTTCCAGTGAATAAACTTTTTTATTATTTTGTCCTTTGTTTTCTTTGACAGTTTTAACTTATAATTTATTTTATAAACTAAGACAGTTATTTAAAAAGTATTTTGCATAATGTGCTCGTGACGTTGTCTTCATTTCATTACGATTTGCATAAAATTGTTTTGATGCATCTTGCCACTTTTAGTCTGTTTTTGTTACTATATAGTAAGATGGCTCATATCTGTCATCCGAGCATTTTAGGAGATTGAGGTGGGAGGTTAACTTGAGCCCAGAAGTTTGAGACCAGCCTGGGAAACAAAGCAATACCATGTCTCTAAAATAAATAAATAAATAAATAAATTGAATCCCCTGTAGACAGATGTAGTTAGATTTTATTTTATTTTTTATCTCTGTACTCTATTTATGACTTTTGTTTGAGAAGTTTAGTTTGTGAGTAGCTACATAATTTCCTGCATTTGAAGGAATTACTTTTGACACTTTTTGGAGTAAAAGGTAAATATTAAATTTGAACTAAATTGGACATGGACTCAAACAATGGTCACCAAGTCCCGGAACAGGTTGTGTGAGCCCCTTGAAGCCCTCATCCAGCGCTGTTTCAGATAAATCTCTATTTCAATTTATTCCTATATCTTAGTTATTGAAAAACAATAGACAATCAAAAAAACAAGTTGACCTTTTTGTGTTCCTTGAGCCCCGTTGTGAATAGCCTTCCTGACCGGACTTCATGCCAAATAACTCATTACAAAAAGAGCTGGGGTTCCAGACTGCGCCAAAGCTTCATGAGATCTCACGTTGTCTGTGGACGGATGAGTGGCCAATCTGGAGCCCAGGCTGTTGCTTCACAGTCTTGTGGTGAATCCTCCATAGTTTGGTGAGTTTAAATATATATATATATCTTTTCCCTTCTCCCCGTCCCATTGCAACTTGCTTATATATTTGCTTATTATATCTGCATTGCCATTTAAGTGGGATAAAGTTTGTTTGAATCACTGGCTGTGCGTGAGGTGCAGCAGGGAGTCCCAGTTGGTAATTGTAATGCTGAGGGAATTTCCCAGCATTGATGATGCTTGCTTACTTCTTATAAGTTAAAGTGTCAATGTAGGGACTGGTTGTTACAAGAGAAATGTAAGCTGGAAAAGGAAAATTTTAATCTGACTTCCAGACTGACCCTGGTACCATGCCAGGCCTGTCTTGACTGATCAGGCTCAAAGCTATCAGCCTATTGCTGAAAAAGCAGCTGTCCGAGTTGCCCAGTCAGGGTAAAACTGAATAACTAGTCAGTTTTCAGGGCAGAAGAGGGTAAAAACCCAAATCCTATCTCAAGGATGGGAAGTTAACTCTAATAAAATTCAATGGCCTGCACAAAGTGTAAAGTTCCTTGGCATCCTATGGACTGCAGGGAAACAGTCCATTTTACCAAAGGCTAACGCTAAAATACTAGAATTTGCAGCCCTACCACTGAAAAGGAGGTCCAAAATTGTATTGGCTTGTTTGGATTCTGGAGACATCATATTCCCCACTTGGGTAACATATTACAACCTCTGCATGCAGTCACTAGAAAACACTATGAATATCACTGGAGAGAGAAAGACAGCCTGGCTTTTCAACAAGCAAAACAAGCTGAGCAACTGGCCCTGGATCTATGGCCCTTATAGGATGAGTCAACAGAACTGCAAGTAACTGTCCTACATCAACATGCTAATTGGAGCCTTAGGTAGAAACAAGATGGGAAGAAGATACCTTTGGAGTTTTAGACCCAGAAGCTGCCAGAGGCTGGCAAAGCTTATACTCTTTGAGAAGCAGCTGTTGGCCTTCTACTGCGCTTGAAGGAAGCAGAACACCTTTGTTTTAATCATGATGTTTTTATGAGGCCCCAAATTCCTATTATGACTTGGGTCATGAGCTCCCTCAAAACCCATTGGATAGGGTACACTCAAGAATGTAGTATCATAAAATGGAAATGGTACATACAAGACCAGGATAAGCCAGAACTAAAAGCGGTATCATTTTTACTTGAAGATGTGCAAAACTTGCCAACTCAGGAAACCACAGGGCAAGTCCTGCATATAGGGAAGGAAACCTCCCCTGCCCAATGGGGCAAATCCTTTAAAGAACTAAGCCCAGAGGATCAGAAACACGCTTGGTTACTGATAGTTCCACCAAATACATTGATGGGACCTGATGCTGGGAGGCCGTGGCTTATAATCCTGTTAAAAACATAAGCGTTTCTGATGAAGGGAGGGGTGTGAGCAGCCAGCTGGCTGAACTAGAAGCCATCCTCCGAACTATTCAGGAGGAGGCCAGAGCAATTTGTTGCTTGTATACCGACTGTTGGTCAGCAGAAAATGGTCTTACTACCTAGTTGCCCGAATGGCAATGAAACAAATAGTGAATAATGAATAAAGAGGTTTGGAGAAAACAATACTAGGAAGATACCTGAATCCTGATGCACATTACTATTATTGCTGTTTTTCATATTGATTCTCATGCATCTCTGCATTCTCTTGACAGACTAAACAGCAGGTAGATCAACAGGCCAAAATTTCCAGCATAAATGCAAACTTGAATGTGGGTGAATGGATTACAACACATTCAAGCCTGGCGATGAGACACATTATAATGTATGGTGGTATAATTGATAATGATTACCAGGAACAGTTAAAGTTCACTTTACACAATACCACTCCACATTCTTTTGTTACAAGACCGCAGATTCGGGTTGCTCAATTGTCAGTGGTACCTGGTACCTTGTTAACAATTAACCCCTGAGGAAATCTCTGCCCCAACAGAGGCTACGTACAGAACTGGGAAATTAAGATCCACTGGTATAGGTAGCTTAAATCCTGGAACGAAAATATGGATACAGCCTCCATCAGATCCCGCCCCTAAGGCTGTGACCTTGTAGGTATGGGAGCAGAAAATAAAAGGGTAGTACAGTTTCCTAAAAATGAAAAACAATATTATGTTCCCCTTCAGTTTTGTTGTTACAGAGAATAACCTGTCTACTAGTAATCAGTACCTGGGTCATCAGGTCTGAGGTGGAGAGTGAATTCATCAACTGGGCAGCAACCACTGCGACAGAAGCTAACCGCAGTCAATGCTGGCTATGCATCAAATTGCCAGAGGCCACAGGAAATGGACTGCCTTGCAGAGTTGTCCTTGCCAATATTTCTGAATGGCTCTGTCACTACAAATGGGGCCAAAACAACAACACTTGCAATCCAACCTGGACTTCCTTTGCTACTTTAATAACATCTTAATACACTATAATTGTAGTATAACCATTGCTGTCCCCTGGGGGGCCCTCTGGGTATGCAGACCCTATGGGTGGCCTATCTGCCCCCTTATTGGATGGGGAGATTCACTTGGGGGTGCCATTAATTCCATTCACCATCCGGGATAATATTCCCTTCCCCAATAATCTAGATGCTTACAAAGGTAGCTGGTTATGAACGTGCCAGACTCCCTGGTGGTGGAAAACTATCACAGTATTCTCCCTTGCCCCTCGTACAATCCTGCTTCAGCAACAAATTAAAATATTAAGTCCACATATAGTAAAAGCTCCTAAGATAGTAGCACTGGACTTCTGTTGTTATCAGAAGAACTTGTTCAGCTGTGTACTGTTGTGTTGCAAAATCGAATGGCATTAGGTATGTTTACCGCAGCCCAAGGAGGGGTTTGAGTCTTGCTGCATTCTGAATGTTGTGTGTATCCCTGACAGTTCTCGCAGTATTACTCTCCTTGCCGAAGACATGCAAGGACAAGTAAAACAGTTAGAATCTAACCATCAGGACCCCATCATGGACTGGCTGTCAAACTAGCATTGGCGTTGGCCGTGGTGGGTGTGGTTTCTATTAATTGTGCTTTTAATTCTCCTCTGCTCTATCTGTAATCTATACCAGTTGTGACTTCCCCGTATAACTGTAAAAATATTTTCCTATGATTCAGTGTCAAATTGAGGCTGAATGAGGAGGAAAAGTTAAATATTAAATTTGAACTCAATGAACATGGACAGAAACAATGGTCACTAAGTCCTGGAACAGGTTGTGTGAACCCCTTGTGGAATTCATCCAGCACTGTTTCTGAGAAATAGTTATTGAAAAACAACAGAAAATCGCAAAAACAAGTAGGCCTTTTCGTTTTCCTTGAGTCCAGTCACGAAGGGCCCTTGTGAGTGGGCCTCATGCCGAACAAATCGTTACAAAAAAAGCTATGGTCCCAGACTGTGCTGAAGCTTAATGAGACCTCTCCTTGTCTGTGCAGGGGTGGGTGGCTGACTCTGGAGTCCAGGCTGACGCTTTCCTATAGGCAAAGCTCAGGGAACAGAGGAGAGTCACATCAAATAGTTGATGAGTCAAGAGATATGTCACAGGGACTCCTGTATGCAGGGTCCAGACAGGAAATCCACATCGTTTTGGTGCTGAGCCCAGCAATATATTACAATGTCTTCTGAGGGAAGAACCAAGGCAAAAAATTAATGTCACTTTGGTGTTAAGCCCAGTGATACATCACAATTTCCACTGCAGGAAGAACCTAGGCAGAAGAGAATAGTTACATCAGCTAGATGGTGCCCCCATTGATATGTCACAATGTCCACTTGAACAGGAATCAGTCAGCAGAAGCAAGTCACATCACCTGAGTGATGGGTGCAGAGATAAGTCACAATGTCCCCTGTAGGCAGAGCACGGAAAGGAGAGCTGCATAACCTGGGTGTTGGACCCAGCAATATAGCTTATATGGTAGACCCCTGGCAGAAAAATTACAAAACATGGGGCCAGCACCAAGTATATGTTATAATGTCCCCTGTGAGCAGCACCAAGGCAGGACAGGAGACTCGCATCACTTGGTTGCTAAGACAAGTGATCTGCTACAATCTTCTTTGTAGGCAGGGTGCACACACTTTTTTTAGGTGGTGAATGCAGAGAGATGTCCCAAGGCCCCCTGTGAACAGGGCTCAGGCAGTAGCCATCAATTCCCTAGGTATTATGCCCAGCAGTATGTCACAATATACAAAATATGCAGGGCCCAGGGAAAAGAGGAGAGTCACATCATGTGGGTGCTTGTCCCAGTGATTTGTCACAATCTCTCTTTTTGACAGGACCCAGGCAGAAGAGGGGGGTCATAGGTGCTGGGTTCAATAATGTCACAATTTTATCATGGGCTGGGCTACGCAGAAGAGTCAAGTCACTCACGAGCTGGGCCGAGATATATTTCACAGTTATACCTCCAGGAAAGTCCAGGGCTGAGACTGACAATCCTGCACATGTCCCATATCTAGGTGTGAGAGCAAACACATTGTGTTTGTTGGGTGTAAGTGTACAAGTCACAGTCTCAATGGTGCACTGGATCTGTGCATGGCAGCTTCAGTCTTTCCCGAGGACCGTGGCCCCTTAATGGAGTCACAGCGTCACGTGTTTGCTGAATGTTGGTTTTAGAGTCACTGACTCAAACATGGATCGCATCCACTTATGAGAGTCAATTATTCATCTCTCAACCGCCTCCAGGTGTGAGATTTGGAACCTCAACAGTGGGCTGTGTTCATGTGAAAAGATGACAATTTTTACTCTTGGCTCAGAGTAGATATGAGTGTCACAATCTACTTTTGTTCTGGGCCCTGTCAGGACACTCTCTTCACCATATGAAGCCTTTATAGAGTATGCATGAATGTAACAATTCTCCCTGAAACCTTAAGCAGGCACGGACCCCTCCTTGTGCCTTTAGCTTTAAGCCCTGGTATGACAGTCAACATCTTTCTACTTGGATGGGTCCAAATAAGAGTTCTTAACTGCCTATGAGCTGCGTTTAAAAATGAGTCACCATCCCACCTGTGGCTGGATGTTCACATATGAAAGTCAGAATCCCAGTTGTGGACTATGTCTGCATGTGTAATTCAGGACCTCAAGAGTGGGCTCTCTCCACGTGTGATAGAGACCATCCTGAATATTGGTGTGGTGTGAATCTGAGAAGTATAATCTCACCAGTGTGCTGAGCCCTTTGGTGACAATTTCTCTACCATAGTTTACACAATATGCATGACAGTGGTACTCCTCCGTGTGACGTATCACTGGGTCTTGCACACAGGTAATGTGAGTCTCCTCTCCTGCCTTGGAATGCTCACAGGAGGCATTGGGACATACCACTGAAGCTGATATTCAGGTTATGTGCCTGTCTTTCCTGTGCTCTGTCCATGGGCTTTTGTGACATATTTCTGGGTCCAAAACACAGGTGACATAACTCTCCTGTCTGAACTCTGCCTACAGAGGGCATGGTGGCATATCTCTGCACCAGCCACTAGATGATGTGACTCTATCTTCTGTCTAGTCTCTGCCTACAGGGTGAATTGTGACTTATCACCCGGCGCAGCATTTAGCTAATGTGACTCTTCCCTTTTTTCAGGTTCTGCCCTCGGGGGAGATTGTGACATATCTATTTGTAAAACACCAAAATGATTTTACTCTTTTGTCTTGGCTCTGCCCTCAGAAGGCTTTGGGATATATTGCTGAACAAGCACCAAGGTAATGTGATTGTCCTACCTGAACCCTGCCCACAGGGAGCATTGTAACATATCTCTGAGCCCATGAACTATTTGATATGGCTCTATTCTCTTACCTGGGCTTTGCCCATGAGAAAGATTGTGAAGTATTTCTTGATCCAGTGCTTAGGTAATGTGATTCTCCTCTCCAGCCTGAGACATGCCCACAGAAGTAAGAGTGACATCTCTGGGCCTAGCCCACAGGTGATGTGAACCTTATCCCTTGTTTCTGCCCAGGGGAGTCATTGTGATGTATATCTGAGACCATTATTAGAATGATGTGACTCTCCTGTTCTTACTGCGACCTGTCCACAGTGGGGATGATGATGTATCACTTAGGCCAGCACATATGAGGTGAGATTCTTCTCATGCCTGTGCCCTGCCCCCTGGGCTAATTGTGACATATAACTGGGCCCCTCCCCTAGGTTATGCAACATATCCCTGTGATAACACTCTTTGTACCATTTAAGAGCTTTATATAATATGAGAGAGTTGTATTCCTCTAAGTCCTTCATACAAAAGGAAGAGTTAAGACCTACCGGTTTTCCAAAGCCTCCCTATGAAAAACAGCATTTCTCTTAGTGGCAGGTTTGAGGTATGAGAGTCATTATTACACCTGTGAGCTGGCCAAGATATATGTTTCAATCTCTTCTGTGGGTAGGGAGTGAGCAGGAGAGTCACGTCACCGGGATGCTTGGCCTGAGATCTGTCAATATCTTCCCTGATGGCAGGGAACAGGTAGGAGAGTCACATACCTAAGGCTGGGCCAGGGATATGTAACAATGTTTTCTGAGGTCAGAGGCTAGGAGGGGAGTCCCATCACTTGTGTGCTCACAGGGGATATGTTACAATCCCCTCCTGAAATCAGAGTACAAGCAGCAGAGTCAAATCACCTGAATATTGAGCTCAGTGATATGTCACCACACTCCCTGTGGGCAAGACCATAGCAGGAGAGAAACATCACCTGATTACTGATTACTGGGCCCAGTGATATGTCAGAATCTTTCCTGTGGGCAAGGTGCAGGCAGAAAGGAGAGTCACATCATCTGGTGTTGGAAGCAGAAATATGCTACAAGGCTCACTGTGGACAGAGTTCAGGCAGGAGCCTCTAATCTCCTAGGTGTTAAGTTCAGTGATACGTTACAATGCTCCCTGTGGGCAGCACGAAGGCAAGAGAATAGAGCCACATCACCTATGTTCTAGGTCCAATGATATGTCCCAATTTTATTTGTGAGCTGGGCTTAAACAGAAGAGTCTAATCACTCAGGTGCTGGACAAATGTGTATGCTTGTCACAATGACACCTGCAGGAAAGTCCAGATATGGGATGAATCCCGCACATATTCTGGTTTTACGCATGAGAGTGAACACCTTCTGTATGTTTGATCTAAGTACACAAGTCACTATCTCAATAGTGGACTAAATTTGTGCATGGCAGCCCCATTTTCTCTTGCGTACTTTGTCCCCTAATTGAAATCACAGCTTCCTAGGTGTGCTGACTCATGATCTGAGAGTCATCAACACATCTGTGACTCTCAAATATGAGAGTCAATTTTTCAACTTGTCAATCTGCCTTTGGGTATGGGATTCAGAGCCTCAAAAGTGAACTATGATCATGTGAAAGAACGACAATCTTTAATGTTGGCTGGGTGTGCATCCCAATGTCATTATATTACTGTGTGCTGAGCCCTATTAGGACTTTCTGTGTTGCACCTGACGGCTTTATGTTGTATGCATGACAGTCTCAATTCTTTCAGAGATTTTCATGCTGGTATGGACCCATGATCAAACCTGTGGCCCTAAGCCTATATGAGTCAACATCTTTACAATTGGCGGGGTCCAGATAAGAGAATCATCAGCTTTCTATGCGCTGGGTTTATAACAAAGTTCCCATTCCAACTCTGGCCAGATCTTTACATATGAGATTCGCAATTCCAACTATAAACTGCATTCATGTGTGAAATTCAGGACCTCACCAGTGGGTTCTGTTTATATGTGAGGGTGAAAATCATAATGGTCAGGAGGGTTCAGGGTGCGCATAGGAGTAACAAATTTCACCTGTGTGCTGGGCCCTGTGATAAGACTCTCTACCACCCGAGGGCTTTCTGTAATATGTGAGAGAGTGGATGATCTTAGCGAGGAGACCTAGGGTTTTTTTTCATTTCCCTAAGTGTAGCTAGGAGAAGCAGTATCTCTTCTATTGGCTGGTTTGACATATGAATGTCATCATTGCACCTGTGTGTTGTGTTCCAAGATATATGTCACAATTACACCTGCATATAGGAAGAGAGCAGGAGAGTAAAATCAGTTGGACGCTGGGCCAGTGATATGTCGCTTCCCTGAGGACAGGGACCAGGCAACAGTCACATTACCTGAATGTTCAGGCATTGGTATGTTGGAATCCACTCCTCACATTAGGAACCAGGCAGCAGAGACACATCACCTGCATGCTGGATCTAGCAATATTTCACAATCCTCTCTGTGTTCAGGATGCAGGCAGAAGAGTCACATCTTCTTGGTGATGAATGTAGAAATATGTCACAAGCTTCACTGCACGTAAGGTAGAGGAATAAACCTTTTATTCCCTAAGTGTTGGGCCCAGGGATATGTCACAATACCCAAAATATGCAAACCCAGGCAAAAGAGAACAGTCACATTACCTTGGTGGTAGGGTCACTGATATGTCACAATCCTCTGTTTTGGAAGGGCCCAGGTAAGAGTGGAGAGTCACATCGCCTAGGCAATGAATAGAAGAGTATGTCATAATACCCCTGTTGGCGAGACCTATGCAGAAGAGTCACATCACCTATGTGTTCAACCCAGATATATGTTACTGTACACCATGTATGCAGGGCCCAGGCAAGAGAAAAGGCCACATCACCTCGGTTCTGGGCCCAGCAATATATCACAATTCCCCCTAAGAGGAGGTAACAGACAGCAGAGTCACATCACCTAGGTCTGAGGAGCAGAGCTATATGGTAGTGCCCTGTGTGTGTGGGCCCAAAAATAGAGGAGAGTTACATCACCTGAAGACTGTACCCAGCTATAAGTTTCAATCACCCCTGTGGGCAGCACCCAAGCATGAGAAGAGAGTACCATCATGTAGGTGCTGTGCCAGGCTGTATTTCACAATCTCCACTATGGATAGGTTTCAGGGGGAAGAGGAGCATTACATTATCTAGTTGATGAGTCTAGAGATATGTCAAAATGACCCCTCTGGAGACACCAGGTTGCAGAATCACATGACCTGTGTGCTGGGTCTAGGAATAACCCACTCTCCCTTCTGTAAACATGGCCACGGCAGAAGATGAGGGTCACATATTTAAGGTGATGAACGCGGAAAGATTTCACAAGGCTCCCTGTAGGCAAGACCCAGGCAGGACTTTCCCTTCCCTCAGTTGTTGGGAGGAGAAATACATCACAATGTGGGGCTCAAGCAGAAAACAAAAGAAATATCCCCTATTTTCTGGGCTCAGAATTATGTCACAATCTCTCCTATGGGCAAAGCCTTTGTTAAAAAAGGAGAATCTTGTCAAATAGTTGATGGGCTCAGAGATATGTCCCAATGCCATATGTTACAAATTGCTGTAGGCAGGCTTCAGGCAGGAGACTCACCTTGGTGTTGGGCCCAATAATGTGTCACAGTGCTTTCTGCTTGCAGAGCAAAGTCAACAGAGTAATGTCACCGAGAAGTTGGACCCACCAATGTATCACAATCTCCTTCCAAACAAATCCTAAAAAACAAAAGAAGAGTAACATGAGCTAGGTGCTGGGCACAGTGATATGTCACAATCCTTTCTTTAAGCAGGGACTAGGCAGGAGAAGAAAATCACACCACATGGGTGATGGGCTCATAGATATTTCACAATGTCCCCTTAGGCAAAGCTCAGGAAGGAGAGCTAAATCATCTAGGTTTTGGATGCAACAATATGTCAAAATGGCCATTGTGGACTGGGCACAGGCAGAAGAGTCACATAACATGGATGTGGGACCCAGCAATACATCACAACACCCCTGTGAGTAGCACTAATGCAAGACAGAAAACATACATTACCTAGGTGCAAGGCCAAGTGATATGTCCCAATGTCCCCTGTGGGCAGCACTAAGGCAGGAGATAAGAGTCACATCATCTAGGTGCTGGCTTCAGTGATATATCAGAATCCCATCTGTGAGCTGGACACAGGAAACAGAGCTAAAACACTCAGGAGCTGGGCAGAGATGTATGTCACAATCCCACCTGCAGAAAGCGACAGGGATGAGATGAACAACTCCACACATGTCCGGATTCCAGGTATGAGAATTTGTATGTTTGGCCTAAGTACACCAGTCTCAATCTCAACAGTGAACTGGATTCATAAATGTGTCTTCTCTGGCTGACCGTGTCCCCTTAGGAGAGTTACAGTCTCACAGATGTAATGAATTTTGGTTTGAGACTCACCCACCTACCTGTGGACAAGATCCATATATGAGAGTCAATTTTTCTCTTTCTTTCTTTCTTTCTTTCTTTCTTTCTTTCTTTCTTTCTTTCTTTCCTTTCTTTCTTTCTTCTTTCTTCTTTCTTTTTTCTTTCTTTCTTTTTCTTTCTTTCTTTCTTCCTTCCTTCTTTCTTCTTTCTTCTTTCTTTCTTCTTTCTTTCTCTTTCTTTCTTCTTTAATTCTTTCTTTTCCTTTCTTTCTTTCTCTTTCTTTCTTTCTTTTCCTTCCTTCCTTCCTTCCTTCCTTCCTTCCTTCCTTTCTCTCTCTTTCTTTCTTTCTTTCTTTCTTTCTTTCTTTCTTTCTTTCTTTCTTTCTTTCTTTCTTTCTTTCTTTCTTTCTTCTTTTGGTCCCTTGAGACGGAGTCTCACTCTATCGCCAGGCTGGAGTGCAGTGGGGCGATCTCGGCTCTCTGCAACCTCTGCCTCCTGGGTTCAAGCAACTCTCTTGCCTCAGCTTCCCGAGTAGCTGGGATTGCAGGTACGTGCCACGACGCTCAGCTAATTTTTGTATTTTTAGTAGAGATGGGGTGGCCAGGCACAGTGTCCCATGCCTGTAATCCCAGCACTTTGGGAGGTCGAGGTGGGTGGATCACCTGAGGTCAGGAGTTTGAGACCAGCCTAATTAATATGGTGAAACCCCGTCTCCACTAAAAATACAAAAATTAGCTGGGAATGGTGGCATGAGCCTGTAGTCCCTGCTACTCGGGAAGCTGAAACAAGAGAATTGTTTGAACCAGGGAGGCGGATGTTGCAGTAAGCCTAGATGGTGCCACTGCACTCCAGTCTGGGTGACAGAGCAAGACTCTGTCTCAAAATAATAATCATAATCATAATCATAATCATAATCATAAATAGTAGAGAGACGTGGTTTCACCATGTTGGCCAGGATGGTCTTGATCTCCTGATCTCATGATCTGTCCGCCTCGGCTTCCCAAAGTGCTGCGATTACAGGCGTGAGCCACTGAGCCATGCCGGTTGTACCCATTTTTGAGGATGGTAACTTTTATTGTCACCAGAGTGTGCATGAGTGTTAGAATCTCACCTGTTTGCTGGGCCCTGTTAGGACACTATGTACCTCCTGTGGACCTTGTAGAGTATGCATTAAACATAATCCACTCTGACGTCTTCATGCTGATATGAACCTATGATCATACCTGTGGCCATAAGTCCAGGTATGAGAGTCAACATCTCTCCAGCTGGCTGGATCCAGATAAGAGGATCTTTACTTGGCTGTAAACTGGGTTCAGAAATAAGTCACTATCCCAACTGTGACTGGATGTTCACATGTGATAGTTACAATTCCAGCTGTGGACGGCATTCAGGTATGAGGTTTAGACCTCCCTAATCACCTCTGTTCCTGTGTAGGAATGACAATTCTGATGATTGGTGGGTGTGCACACAGAGAACACAATCTCACCTGTGTTCTGGGCCCTGTGATGACACTGTACCATCTGAGTGCTTTATAGGATATGCAAGAGTGCTTACTTTCTCTGACCTTCATAGTAAGAGAAGACCCATAATTTTGCAAGTTTTGTTAAGCCTGGCTGTGAGAGAAAGTATCTCTGCTATTGGTTGGTTTAAGGTATGAATGTCATCATCACACCTACATGCTAGGCCAAAATATATGTGACAATCTCACATTTGGGTAGTCAGAAGCAGGAGAGTCTCATCACCTGGGTCTGTGTCAGGGACATGTTGCAGTCTTCCCTGAGGACAGGGACAAGGCAAGAGAGTCACATCCCTAAGAGTTCTGCCAGGGATATGTTCTTGTTCTCTCCTGAAAGCACGACACATGCAGCAGAGTCACCTCACCTGGGTTCTGGGCCCAGTGATATGTCACAATTTTCCCTGTGAACTAAGCACAGGCAGGTGAAACACATCACCTGTTTGCTGGGCCCAGAAGTATGCTACAATTTTTCTTGTGAGCAGGGTTCAGGCAGAAATGGGGGGGATCATATTTTCTAGGTGATAAATGCAGAGCTATGTCACAAGGCCCTCAGTAGTCAGGGTCTTGGCAGAAACTTCCTATTGACTAGGTGATTGGCCCAGTGATACATCACAATAGCTAAATTATGTGGGGCCCAAGGCAAAGAGGAGAGTTGCATCACCTAAGTGATGAACAAAAAGATACTTCATAGTACCCATGGGGAAATGGCCCATGCAGGTGAGTCACATTACCTACGTGTTGGACCCAGTGATATGTCACAATACACAATAAATGTAGGATGCAGCCAAGAGCGGATAGTCAAATAGCTCAGGTGCTGGGCCCGGTGATACATTGTAATCTCTCTTTGGTCAGAGCCCTACAGTAGAAGAAACTCAGTTCACCTCGGTGCTGAGGTCATCCATATGTCACAATACCCCTGAGAAATGAGCCCAGGCAAAGAGTGAGAGGCCCACAGATATTTTGCAATGGCTCCTGTGGGTAGCGCTCTGTAAAAAGACAGTCACATTACCTAGAGTCTGCCCGCAACGATTTGTAACAATCCCTGCTATAAACAGGTAGCAGTCAGGAGAAGTGAGTCCCATCACCTGGGTGGTCAGTGTAGAGATATGTCACTATGCCCCCTGTAGGCAAAGTCTAGACAAGAGTTACATCACCTGGGTGTTGGACCCAGCAATATGTCACAATGGCTCATGTGGGCAAAGCACAGGACAGAGTCACATAACAAAGTGCCAGGACCAGTGTTAGGTCAGGATACCCATTATGGGCAGTGCCAAGACAGGAGAATAGAAGCATATTAATTAGATGCTGGATTCAGAGATATATCACAATCTCATCTGTGGGCTACACCCAGGCAAAAATGTCAAATCACTCAGGTGCTGGCTAGAGGTGTATGTCAGAATCACACCTGCAGGAAGGTCCATGGATGAGATTAACAATCCCACATAAGTTCCGGTTCTGGGTATGAGAGTGAACGCCTCCTGTACGTTGTATCTATGTGCATAAGTCACAATCTCAATGGAGGAATGGGTTTTTTCCATGAGAGCCTTAATCCCTTTTGAAAACGGAGTTATCTTAGTGGACTCACAGCCTCACAAGTGTTTTGGATCTTGGTCAGGGAGTCACAAACCCACTGGCAGACAATATCCACTTTTAAGAGCCAATTTTCCAACTTTTGACTGCCTCTGGGTGTGAGTTTCAGAACCTCAATTATGGTCCATGTTCATGTGGGAGAAACAATTTTGACAGATGGCTGGGCTCAGGCAGGAGACTTTCATCCTGCAGGTGTTGAGACAAAGGATACATCACAATACCCAAAATATGCTGGGTGCAGGCAAAAGAGGAGACTCATATTAGCTGGTTGCTAGGTCCAGTTATATGTCACCACCTCCCTTTTTGGCAGGGCTAAGGCAAAAGAGGAGAGTCAGAGCTAAAGAAATGTCATAATGTCCCTGTGGGTAGGGCCTATGCATAAGAGTTGCATCACCTAGTCATTAAACCCAGCCGTATATTAGAATACATAATGTATACAAGGCCCAGGCAAGAAAGGAGAGAATATCACATAGGCACTGTGTCCAGCAATATGTCACCATACCCCCCAGAGGGGAGGCTCCAGGTAACAGGGTAACATTACCTAAGTGAAGTGCCCACAGAGATGTTTCAATGCCCCTGGTGGGTAGGATTTTGAAAAACGAGAAGTTACAGAACCTAGGTAACAGGCCTAGGTATGTGTCACATTCATCTCCAAGACGGAGCCCAGACATGAGAGAAAAGTCACATGATGTAGGGCATGTAATATGTCACAATCCTTATGTGAGCAGGCCCTAGGAAGAAGTAGAGAGTCACATAGTCTAGATGATGGGCCCAGAGGCATTTGACAATGACTCCTGTACGTAGGGACCAGGCAGAAGAATCACATCACCCCTGTGCTGTTCCCAGTTATAAGTCACACTTCCTTCTGTGGGCATGACCCAGGCAGAGAGAATTCACATCATCCCAGTGCTAGACCCAGGGATATGTCACAATCTCTCTTATGGGCAATGCTCAGGTAAGAGAGGAGAGTCTCATCAAATAGGTGATGTACCCAGAGGTATGTCACGATGCCTTCTGTGAACTCGATCCAGGCAGAAGATTCACATCAACATCAACTTGGTGCTAAGCCCAGCAACGTGTCACAATCCCTTCTGTGTAAAGGGACCAGGCAGGAGAAGAGAATCACATCACCTGGCTGATGAGCACAGAGATATGTCACAATGCCCCTGTAAGGCAGGGCCCAGGCAGTTGGGTTACATCACCTGAGTAGTGGACCCAGCAATATTAACACAGTGTCCCATATGGGCAGTGCACAAGCCGGAGAGTCACATAACCTGGATGCGAGGCCAAGCTATATATAACAACGCTTCCTGAGGGCAGCGCCAAGTCAGAAGAGGAGACTCACATCACCTGGGTGTAAGGTCTAGCGATATGTCAAACTGCTCACTGTGGGCAGTGCCAACGAAGGAGAATAGAGTTACATCCTCAATGTGCTGGATCCAGCAATATGTTAATATCCCATCTGTGGGCTGGGTCCATGCGAGCCCGTCAAGTCACTTAGGTGCTAGGCACTGGGAAATTTGACAATGGAAGCTGCAGAATGGTCCAGGAATTAGATTAACAATCGCACAGCTGTCTCAGTGGTAGGCATGACATTCAACACCTCCTGTATGTTGGGTCTAAGCCCACGAATAACCATCTCAACACCAGACTGGATTTGTGCATGAGAGCCTCAATTCCTCTGCAGACTGACTTGTGTTCCCGTGAGAGGATGACAATAGTTACTGTTGGCTGGGTATGCATATGAGTCTCACAATCTCACCTGTGTGCTCGGCCCAGTTAGCACGCTCTGTGTACTACCCAATGGCCCTATACTGTATGAATGAGAGTTGTAATCAACTTTGAGACCTTCCTAAAGGTAGGGACCCATGATCATACTTGTAACATTAAGCCCAGGGATGAGAGTCAACATCATTACAATTAACTATGTCAGGATAGGAGACTCATCCCTTGCCTATAAGCTGGGTTTAGAAACGAGCCACCATTTCAACTCTGGTTGAATGTTTATATATGAACACAGGCCTAGCACCAATGTGATGTGAGTCTTTGGCCTAGACACTTCAAGCAGGAGACAATGTGACATATCTCTGGGTCTATCAACTATTTGATATGACCTTCCTTTTTTACCTGAGCTTTCCCCATAAAAGAGATGTGACATATGTCTAGACCCAGCACCTGGGTGATGTGGCTCTTCTTTATTGACTGAGCCCTGTGTATTTTGGGTATTCTGACATATCCCTGTACCTAACTTCTGGAAGATAAGAAGATCCAACATGGGCCCTGCCTAAAAAGTCTCTTGTGACAAATTTCTACATGAATCACCTTGGAGATTTGACTCTTCTCTCTTACCTGAGCTTTGCCCATAAGAGAGATTGTTACGTACCTCTGCAGCAAGCACCTAAATGCCGTGACTCTTCTTTCTTGCCTGGGTCATGCCCACAGATGAAAGGTGGCTTATCGCTGTGTCCAGCACACCGGTTATGTGATTATGCTGCCTCATCTCTTCTCACAGGAGCTGTTGTGACAAATCCCTGGGCCCAGAAATTATTTAATATGACTCTCCTCAATGACCTTAACTTTGTGCATGGGATAAATTGTGACATACCTCTGGATCCAGCACCGAGGTGATGCGACTCTCCTTTTCTACATGGGCTATGCTTACAAGAAGGAGGCTGACTTATTGCTGTGTTGACAACTGATGTGATACCTCTGTTCTTGTTTTCCTAGATTTTAAGAATTTAAACAAGAGACACAAAGAAAAAAAGTACAGCATAATTTATTGGAAAAGAAAATATTTGAAAGTTAAGTGCAGAATACAGTACACCCTGAGAGAGATACTCCAGGGCGGACTGCTCATAAGAGTGAGACAGCGTGGACTGTCGCTGGAGAAACCCCTTTATGGCAGTTTTACATTATTATTAATAAGGAGGAGGGAAGAGGAGTTGCTAGTAAACATGTTCTCTGTGGTATTCTGGGTGCATATGCGCAGTAGCTGTACATGCTTGTTCATATGTTGCATGTCTCGTTAGCATCTTATATTTCCACCCAGGAGTGTATTTCTGTGTGTTTGTTTGTTTGTTTGAGACAGAGTCTCGCCGTGTTGCCCAAGCTGCGGTGCAGTGGTGTGATCTCTGCTCACTGCAACCTCTGCCTCCTGAGTTCAACCCATGCTCGTGCCTCTGCCTCCTGAGTATCTGGGATTACAGGCATGCACCATCATACCCTGCTAATTTTTGTATTTTTAATTTAGACGGGGCTTCTCTATGTTGGCCAGTTTAGTCTCGAGCTTCTAGTTTGAAGTGATCCATCTTCCTCAGCCTCCCAAAGTGCTGAGAGTAGAGGTATAAGCCACCGTGCCTGGCTAGGGGGTGCATTGTTTGCTATTAAAATAAGCAAAATTTAAGTTTGAGGGCAGGTAAAATCAAAATACACATGCTCTCTAGAACAGAAAGTCCTTAATGAGGATAGCTTTGCTCGAATAAGCCAAATTACAATGCGAATGCTAAGGCTTATTGTTTTGGCTGTACAGTCACCATGGTTTCTCTATCCCGAGATCATGGTCATTTTCTGTACTATCTATTCTGCCTCAATTTCCCCCTAAGAGATTTTAGGGCAATAACCATATTGGAGGTTGAGGGGTTAGACCACTTTTTCTGGAGCTGTTTCCTGCTGAGTGGGTGTTACTTCTGCCTAGCCTGGGCCTTAAAGTTTCTTCCTGTGTGATCTAACAGGGTGTAAACCATGTCGTTCGTGGAACCAGTGGGAAGATGTTGGCAGCCAAAGATTGAAAGCCTTGCAAACCATCATGCAAACATGGAGTTGCCACAAGCAACATAGCAGGAAATCAGTTAACATTTTAAACAAAATTGGAACAAAAGTAGAAGTTGAAAATATAATAATGACGGGTACTATTAAAGAGAGCAAGGCAGGCAATGGACATTGCTTTCATGTTCCCATGGAAGTTCCTAGAGATTCAATTTTGTCTGCCTGGGTGATGATATTATTAATATTTTCTTGGAATAAACCAGACTGATTGATCTCAAAAAACAGCATTCTTCTTTTAGATATAAACCTGTTCCTCTTTGCTTGGCTGGGAGAAGATCCCAGGCTCTTTGATTTTGTTGGAATACAGTGGCCATGGAGTCCAGACGTTGTTGAAGTCTATTGAGGCCCTCTGCTGCCTGTTGGGGACACACTGAGATTTTCTGAGATAGTTTGTACTGGATTCCCAAGGATCCACCTTATGGTGACATTTGTGCTGCAAAAGTATTCTGCTTTAAAATGGTGAAAGCAGCAAAAGTTTTAAGTCTTTTCTATTTTTCGCAAATAAGAAAAAGTTTTGTGCAGCTGAGTTGGCAGCAGTCATTGGGTCCATTTATGGATGGTAAAGTTGAATGGTGGTCAAAGTTAGAGACTGGAAGGCTTCAGTAAACGCGCTGAAGTTGTCTGAGAGCCATCAGAGCTGTTGCTTACATTGGATTAGATCATTTACTGGGAAGAGAAGAAGCACTCTGATGGTCCTCTCTCCATTTGAGACTTTCTGTAAGCGGATCAAATTCTCTGGCCCTGCATGGTGTGAAGCTCCACTGTGAGTAACTGCAGCTGGACTGGTCTCTATTGTAACTGGCAAAGGCTGATAGAGGAGCATAAGGAGGAGATGAAACAAGCTTAGATTCTACAGAAGACTCTGATAGTGTGGGGACGCTGGGGATTCTAAAGCAGGTGTAGGCCTCTGAGGGCCCCTATCTGGAGCTGGTATTAGGCTGTGGGGTCTGGGGTCACTTGCCCATAAAACAAATGATCTTCTAATGGATCTGAGGGGCTTTGTGGCTTACTAGGCTTTAGCCCACAGGTGCTGCATGGAGCTGGGTTTTGTTGTCGGGCCAGAAAGTCTTGCACATAGGATACTTCAGACCATTTTCCCTGATTACTACAGAAAAGATCTAGCTGTATGATGGTGTTAAATTTCACAGTCTCATTCTCCAGCCATGTTTTGTCAGCTAATCTGTATGCAGGCTAAATAGTTTTACAAAAGAAGATAATTGTTTTTTTGCTTCATTTAGCCAAAAGCTGTTTCAATTTTTAAATATACATCCCAGGTGTGTTTCAGTGACAGTAGAGGAAGTGATTCCCATGGTGCCGAGAGAATCCTGCAAACGACAGAACATGTACTAAAGTCCAGGAGGCTGTGGGCAGCCCCATGAGCCAAGTGGAACCACCAAGTTGTCCAACTCATCCCCTTGAAACCCCATTAACTGAAGCTCTAGGAGGTCATAGGCATTTGCCATGCACCGTCCTAGCTCTCACCAGCGCTGGACATCTCCAGCCCTGCCGAGATGACCCCCACTGCTCGCTGGGGAGCAGATGTCTGGCTGACAAGCCTTTCCCTAATTCAGTGGTTTGCCATTTATGATGCCCAATTATAACACCTGCAATGCTCAGATTCAATCCCTATGACTGGGCATATCCATGACTGTGCATCTTTTGTTCAGCAAAGAAAGCCTGTTGAAGAACAATTTCAAGGAGCTGGGAAATGCATAAAGCCTAAAGGGACAGGGTTTCCCCAGAACTTTAGTGAAACAGTGCTGGAAGAACCAGCGATAGTTAACCAGGTAGTCTGGAAGTGCCACAGTATTCACGGCAAGTAAAGGGAAAGTGAAATCAGTGAAGCGGACAGACCTCTCTCCAGGCCATGGCAAAAGAAATGTTGATGGCTGATGTAATACCTTGATTCTTATTTTCTTAGTTTAAAAGAATTCAAACAAGAAACACACAGCAAAAGAAGTACAGCATAGAGTAATTTATTGCACACAAAAAAAGAAAAGACTACTTTGAAAATTAAGTGCAGAATAGACGGTACATTCTGAGAAAGAGATTGCAGGGCAGGCTGCTCATAAGAGTGAGACACCATTAATTGTTACTGGAGAAACCCTCCTTCTGGGGGTTTTGCACGATTATTCATAAGAAGGTGGAAAGAAGTGTTAGTGTAAGCATGTTTTGAGTGGTCTTCTGGGTGCACATGTGCACTAACTGTACATATTTGTGCATACATTGCATGTCTCATTAGCATCTTAAGTCTCCACCTAGGAATGTGTTTTTACTATTAAAATGAGCAAAAGTTCAGTTTGAGGACAGATAAAATCAAAATGCACATGTTCTCTAGAAGTAAAAGTCCCTACTGAAGATAGCGGGTTTCAAACGACCCCAAGTGCTCCACATCTTAAATGTCGCTCCAACAAAGCTGGAACACTATCTGCTCCTGAGGGATCCGGTCCCATTTGTGTTTCTGAGACACTGGCAAGTCAGGAGTGACTTGAGATGAGACCGATGATTTCAAGTGTAAAATGCCTAAATAGTCAGCAGCTTCAGGTTTCATTTTGGAGCTTGTCCACTTAAATGGGTTGATGAAAATGGCTCACAAGACTCATGCCTCGGAAATGGGGTTTTCTCCTTTGCTCTTAGCAGATTTTGTGCAACCCAATAATTAACCTTCCTGATGCCTCAACTTTCACATTCGTGAAAAAGGCGCCATTGAGAGTGACATTTCCAGGAAGCCACAGACCTTGTCACCCCCTACAGAATTCTGAAGCTGTTCATAAGCAGGCCACGTGGAAGATTTCTCTCAAAAGCTGTTGAGCATGAGGCTTGGCTAGAGAAAAAAGAGGGCTGCGGCACAATGGACAGTGTCTCAGACATCAGGACAGTTTCCACAGCAGTTTAGGAAAGAAGGTAGCGCCCTGGGCTGCAGAAGGCGCAATGCTCTGGAAAGAACCCTGGGTGCAGCTGAAAGAGGAACTTGAGAAGGATAGGGCCAATCAGTTGAGGACAACCCGCCCGATTTGGGCAAAGGTAAGGTGCCTATGTAGGGTAATACCCTCCTCAATGCTCAGCGCAGACCTGTCCTCTAGGTCCACCTATGTACTCATTCTCCTTGGCAAAGAGTCGGCATAGCATAAGAACTCAGCAGTGCTTTGGACACCGGGAAGTCCACACCGCTCTGCCCCTCCCTCCAGGGCTATGCACCCCGGGTCCCGGTACATGCTGTGATTATAGTTCTGAAGCCTACCGACAAACAGGCTGAGAGCAGTTAACAGACTACAGCTCCCAGCATATTAGGTGGGGCGTGTACCACTCTGCCCCTTCTTCCAGGCCTGTACCTCGCCCCCGAGACTGGCACATGTTGGGATTGTAGTCCTGTAGCCCTTTGACCAAAGGGCTGGGAGTGTTTATAAGAATACATCTCCCAGCAAGCCGAAGGAGACGCACACAGACCCGCCTCTTTCTCCACTGACGGGCCGTGTCCCTGACCCCAGTGCATAATGGGATGGTAGTCCTGCAGCCCTGTGACACAAGTTCTGGGAGTCTTTATGAAACTACATCTCCCAGCAAGCAGAAGGAGGCATCCACAGCCTAGACTTTTCCTCCAGTAATGCGCACTCTCCCTGAGCCGGGTGCATGCTGGGATTGTAGTCCTGCAGCCCGGTGATGAGAGGTCTGGGAGTGTTTATGAGACTGCAACTCCCACCAAGCCCAGAGAGGCGTGCACAACCCTGCCTCTTCCTCCAGTGACGCGCACATTCCCTGCGCCCGGTCCATGCTAGGATTGTAGCGCTGCAGCCCAGTGACCAAAGGGCTGGGAGTGTTTATGAGACTGCATCTCCCAGCAAGACCAGCGAGGTGTGCAGAGCCTCGCCCCTTTCTCCACTGATTAGCGCACTCTCCCTGATCCCGATGTATGCTGGGATTGTAGTGATGCAGCCCAGTGACCAAAGGGCTGGGAGTGTTTACGAGAATACGTATCCCAAAAAGCATAGCGAGAACAGCACAGGTCCACCTCTTCCTACAGTGACGCGCGTTGTCCCTGAGCAGGATGCATGCTGGGATTGTAGTCTTGAAGCCCTGTGACCAAAGGGCTGGGAGAAATAAAGAGACAACATCTCCCAGAAAGCCCAGCAAGGCGCTCACACGTCTTTCTCTTCCTCCAGTGAGGCGGACTGCCCCGGCGCCCCGTGCATGCTGGAATTGTAGTCCTACAGCGATGTGATGAAAGGGCTGGTAGTGTTTATGAGACTACCTCTCCCAGCAAGCCCAGAGAGGTGCGCACAGACCTACCTCTTCCTCCAGTGACTAGTGCACTCTCCCTGAGCCAGAGATATGCTGAAATTGTACTGCTGCAGCCCTGCGACCAAACGACTGGGGTAGTTATGAGACTGCATCTCCCTGCAAGCCCAGCGAGGCACGCACAGCTCCACGTCTTCCTCCAGTGATACACACTGTCCATGAACCCGCTGCATGCTGGCATTGTAGTCCTGCAGCCCTGTGACCAAAGGGCCAAGAGACCACATCTCCCAGAAGACCTAGGGAGACGCACACAGCTCCGCATCTTTTCCCCGTGTCGCATACTGCTTTGATCCCGATGCATCCTGGGATTGTAGTCCTGTAGCCCTGTGACAAAAGGTCTGAGAGTCTTTATGAAACAACATCTCCCAGCAAACGCAGCGAGGTGCGCACAACCTGCCCCTCTTTCTGCAGTGATGTGGACTCTCCCTGAGCCCCGTGCATGCTGGGATTGTAGTCTTATAGCACTGTGACCATAGGGCAGGGAGAGGCCATGGGACTACATCTCCCAGGAAGCCCAGCAAGGCGCACACTGCCCTGCCTCTTTCTCCTTAGACTAGCGCACTGTCACTGAGCTGAGTGCATGCTAGGATTGTAGTCCTGCAGCCTTATGACCAAAGGGATGGGAGTGTTTATGAGAATACATCTCCCAGTACGCCCAGGAGGTGCACACAGCCCTGCCTCTTCCTGCAGTGATTAGCGCACTATCCCTGAGCTGGGTGCATGTTGGGATTGCAGTCCTGGATCTCTGTGACCAAAGGGCTGGGAGCGTTAATGAGACTACATCTCCCAAAAAATCACAGCTAGAAGCGCAAAGCCCTCCCTCTTCCTCCAGTGACGCGCGCTGTCCCTGAGCCCAGTGCATGCTGGGGCTGGAAGTGTAGTCCTTCAGCCCTGTGATGAAAGGGCTGGGAGGTTTTATGAGAATACAACTCCCAGCAAGCCTGGCGAGTAGCACACAACCCCGCCTCTTCCTCCACTGACGCACAATTTCCCTGAGCCCGGTGCTGGCTGGGATTGTAGTCTTCCGCCTCTTCCTCCAGTGACAGGAACTGTCTCTTAGCCAGGTGCATGCTGGGATTGTAGTCTTCCCGCCCTATGACCAAAGGGTTGGGTATGTTTATGAGAATACATATCCCACCAAGTCCAGCGAGGCGTGCACAATGCCGCCTCATTCTGCAGTTACGCGCACTATCCTTGATCTTGGTGCATACTGGGATTGTAGTCCGGCTGCCCTGTAATGAAAAGTCTGGGTGTCTTTATGAAACTACATCTCCCAGGAAGCCAAAGGAGGCTCGCAAAACTGTGTCTCTTCACCCAGGCACATGCACTATCCCTGATCCCGGTGCATGATGGGAATGTAGTCCTGCAGCCCTGTGACCAAAGGGCTGGGAGTGTTTATGAGACAGCATCTCTCAGCAAGCAAAGCAAGGCCTGCACAGCCCCGCCTTTTCCTCCAGTGAGGCGCACTGTTCATTAAGGAGTGTTCATGAGATTACATTTTCCATCAAGCCCAGCGAGTCACGCACAGCTCTACCTCTTCCTCTGCCAGCGCGCACTGTCTCTGATTCCGGTGTATGCTGGAATTGGGGTGCTGCAGCCCTGTGACCAAAGGGCTGGGAGTCTTTATAAGACTACATCTCCCAGCAAGCACAAGAGGTGCTCATAGCCGCACACCACCCTCCCCGCCCCACTCTTCTTTCAGTGACCGTGCACTGTCCCGTGAACCTGGTGCATGCTGGAATTCTCCCGTTGCGGGATTCAGGAGGATGAGAGAGACCCCGGGTTGAAACAGGAGAATTTTTATTGAGTGCACTCAGTGTCAGGCCTCTGAGCCTAAGCTAAGCCATCGTACCTTCTGTGACCTGCACGTACACATCCAGATGGCCGGTTCTTGTTTTAACTGATGACATTCCACCACAAAAGAAGTGAAAATGGCCTGTTCCTGCCTTAACTGATGACATTGTCTTGTGAAATTCCTTCTCCTGGCTCATCCTGGCTCAAAAGCTCCCCGACTGAGTACCTTGTGACCCCCCCACTCCTGCCCGCCAGAGAACAATCCCCCTTTTTCCTTTACCTACCCAAATCCTATAAAATGGCCCCATCCCTATCTACGTTTGCTGACTCTCTTTTCGGACTCAGCCTGCCTGCACCCAGGTGATTAAAAGCTTTTATTGCTTACACGAAGCCTGTTTGGTGGTCTCTTCACACGGACGCGCATGAAACTGAGGACAAGCTAACTCACATCAAAAAGACTGGGCCCGGAACAAAGACAGAACCTGACTTTTATGCACATTTCACAAAAGGTGGTGGGCTAGCTTGAAGCAAGTTTACAGTGGCGTGAAAGCAGGGATACAGAGGCAGGACAGACAGGATTGCACATGACCGTTGCCAAGCAACCCACATGTCCATTTTCTAGGTTTCCCTGGGCATGGGCTTATCCTATAACCCTCACTATGGTGCCCAAACAGCTGTAGTTCAGCCTACTCAGGCTTCTCATGACTTACATTGTACTTCTTAGATAAAACAGAATACTTGAAGTCACTAGTTACAGAGAACAAGAATCTATAAACTCATTCCGTAAAAAAAGGAAATTTGTTTTTCTTTTCCCGATGTTGGGGGAGCGTTGGGAGAGCCTCCAGAGCACATTAGATAATATTATCAAGACTATTCCTGGTTCTGGGCTGTGCCTGTTGAAGCCTCTGGGACAAGTCAGCCCAATACAAGAAAATTTATTTCTCTTTCTTTTTAATTTTATTTTTCTTTAATTTCCCTCCTCAGTCCCACAGCCCTGTGACCAAAAGACTGGGAGTGTATGTCAGGCCTCTGAGACCAAGCCAAGCCATCGCATCCCCCGTGACTTGCACGTATACGCCCAGATGGCCTGAAGTAACTGAAGAATCACAAAATAAGTGAATATGCCCTGCCCCACCTTAACTGATGACATTCCACCACAAAAGAAGTGTAAATGGCCGGTCCTTGCCTTAACTGATGACATTATCTTGTGAGAGTCCTTTTCCTGGCTCATCCTGGCTCAAAAAGCACCCCCACTGAGCATCTTGCGACCCCCACTCCTGCCCGCCAGAGAACAAACCCCCTTTGACTGTAATTTTCCTTTACCTACCCAAATCCTATAAAACGGCTCCACCCTTATCTCCCTTCGCTGACTCTCTTTTCGGACGCAGCCCGCGTGCACCCAGGTGAAATAAACAGCCATGTTGCTCACACACAGCCTGTTTGGTGGTCTCTTCACACGGACGCGCATGAAATGTACAGTTACGCTTCTGTTCATTTGTCATGAGACTGTTTTCTTTTACCCCCATGAACGTACTTACCATAGCTTCTTTCAAATCTTATCTACTGATTACAGCATCTTGCACATCTTGAGAATAGGTTCTATTGTCTGCTTTTTATCTTGTGAATCGATTACACTTTCATGCTTCTTCACACATCTCATGAATTTTTAAATTGTGTGATAGGAACTACAGGGACTCTGGATTCTGTTGTATTTCTTTGAAAATTATTATTTTAAGAGGGAGTTAATTTGAATAGATTCAAACCCCAATCCTTATCTCTTCCACAGTGGCATAGATAAAATCTTCATTCAGTCTTCTAAACAGTGTGCCTTTCTATATAGCAAAATATAGTATTTTATTAAGCTTTATTATTGTTATCTGTGAAATAGTTATTCAACGAACTAGTCTACTTCATTATTACTGGAAACCAGAACCTCAGTTGTGTTCACTTTCTGGATTTTATATAAGTGAAATTATATAATATGTATACTTTTACATCTACTTTCTTCTAGGCAACTTTATATTTATGATATTAATTCATGCTATTGCAGATAGCTATAGTTTGTTTATTTAAAAAATATTTTTTACATTTTGGCAAAGTATACATAAAATTAACCATCTTAACTATTTTAAGTGTTCAGCTCAGAGAAATTAACTACACTCACATTGTTTTGCAACTATTATTCCCATTCATAAGGATCTTTTTTCAACTTCCAAACCAAAATTCAATACACATTAAATAACAGCTCCCTGTTACTCCCCCTCCAGCTCCTAGGAACCACTCTTCTACGTGGGTTTCCAGAATTTAACTACTCTAAGTATCTCATAAGTGGAATGATACAGTATTTGTCCTTTTATGACTGGCTCATGTCACTTTGCACAATGTCCTTAAGGTTCATGCATGACTTACCATGTGTCAGAATTTCCTTATTTTTCATAACTGAATAATATCCCACTGTATGTATAAATCACATTTTATCTATTTATTCATTGACGATAATTCAAACAACACAGGTAATTCAAAAACATTTTGAGTGAAGTGAGTCATGCTGCTATGAGCTTAGGTGTACGTGTATTATTTTGTGTCTTCGCTTTCACATCTTTTGCAACATACCAAGATGTGAAATTGCTGGATCATACGGTGATTTTGAGTGTAAATTATTTCGTTACTATGGTGTTGTTTTATAGCAGCTGCAGCATTTTACATTTCCACCAAGTGTACAAGGGTTCTAACTGCTCCACTTCCTCACCAACACTTGTGATTTTCTGTTTTTTTTTTCTTTTTGTACTAGTTATGCTGATGTGCATTAAGTGATATGTCATTTGGGGTTAGATTTTCATTTTACTAATGAAAATGAAAAGGTTTTGTTGAGTACCTTTTCATGGGCTTATAAGCCACTTCACATAATTTTTAGAGAAATATCTGTTTAAGTATTTTGCCCATATTTTAAACAAGTAGTTTATTATTGCTGAATTGTTCTTTGTATATTCTGGATAGAGTCCTCTTTATTTATTTTTCTTTTGTTTCTTGCGTTTTTGGTGCCCTGTTAAAAGAAATCACTGCCAAATCCAGCCTTATGACGTGTTTTACCTACATTTTATAGTAAGAATTTTGTAGTTTTAGCTCTTACATTTAGGTCTTTTATCCAGTTAGTTAATTTTTTCTTATAGTAGAAGTTAAGGGCCCAGCTTCACTCTTTTACATGTGGGCACCCAATTTCCCCAGCACTAATTGTTGTAAAGGCAGTTCATTTCCCATAAAAATCATTTGACCTTATATATGAGGGTTTATTTATATGGGCCTTCTATATTACTCCATTAGTCTCTTTGTAGCATGCTATTTTGGAATTTTGTAGTAAGTCTTGAAATCATTAAGTGTGACTTGTCTAACTTTGGTATTTTTTTCAAAATTATTTTTGCAATTTAAAGATCTTTGAGATTCCCCATAAACTTAAAAATTGATTTTTTAATATCTACACAAGAGTAATTGGCATTTTACTTCTTCGTTACTTCCTAACTACTTTATTCTTTTGATACTATTGTAAATTGAATTGTTTTCAGAGTTTTCTTCTCAGATTATTCATGTTACTACATAAAATGCAGTTCGTTTTTGTATGTTGATTTTGTATGCTACTATTCAGCTGAATTTATTAGTTGTAATTTTTTTGTGTGGAATCTTAAAGATTTTCTACATATAAGAATATATTTTCTGTACACACTTTGATGCAGTTTATTTCATTGTCTTTTTTAATTTCTCTGAATGAAACTTCTAATACAGTGTTGAATAAAAGTGGCTGGCAAGAGCAGATATTCACTCTGTCTTCGGAGCTTAGAGGAAACACTTTTGATCTTTTCCTCTGGAATATGTTGTTTGCTGTGGGTTTTTATATGTGAATTTTACAAAGCTGGTTTCCTTTTATTCCTAATTTATTGTTTTTATTATAAAATATTTTGAATTTTGTAAAATACGTTATCTGTATTAATGAGAGAATACTTTTTAAAAAGTTTGTCAATGTGGCATATGCATTGATTAATTTTCATATGCTTAAACTTTTGTTAAGAAAGGCTAGCTAAGTGAACCAGTGAGACTGGAAAAAGAATAAAGAAATCTATACTGGTTGTGATCAATTATTTGTAAACACCACTGCACTGAAACCACCCATATGCTAAAACTTCCTTTCATTCCAATAATAAACTCCCCTTGGTCATGGGTTGTAATCTTGCTAGTATGCTGCTGAATGTAGTTAGCTAGGATGTTGCTGACTAGTTTTGCATCCGTGTTCATAAGGGATATTAGTCTATGGGTTTTTGTAGTATCTTTGTCTGGCTTCGGTATGAGCTAATGGTGGCTTCATGGAATAAGTTTGGAACTGCTCTCTTCAGGCTTTTGGTAGACTTTGGAAAGGATTTTTGTTCTATAAATGCTTGATCTAAATCTCTAGTGAAGCCAACAAAATAAGGGCTTTTCTTTATGAGGAGGCTTTTAATTACTGATTCCATTTCCTTAGTAGTTTTGTATCTATTCAGATTTTGTATTTCTTTGTAATCAAGTCTTGTATACCTAGGAATCTGCCCACTTTATCTACGTTTTCCAATTTATCATCCTATCATAGTTCACAGTACAGTTTTTTAAACATTTTAATTCTTTGAATTAGTAGTAATGTCCCACTTTCATTTCTCATTTTAGTATGTGAATATGCTGTTAATTTTTTGTGTGTGTAGCTGAAAGTTTGCCAATTGTTAATTTTTTGAAGAAGTGAGAATGAACTTTTGGTTTTTTGGAATTCTGTGGTTTGTATAATCTCCATTGCATTTATCTCTGCTAAAAGCTTTAATATGTTCTTCTTTCTCTTTGCTTTGCATCTAATTTGGTGTTATTTTTCTAATTTACTAGGTGATAAAGTTATTATTTATTTGAAATCTTTGTTCTTTTTAAATGTATTTTAGCTGCAAACTTTACATCTTAGCACTCTTTTTGCTGTTTCCCTTAACTTTTGATGTGTTTTGTTTTCATTTTTCTTCCTCTGTAAGTATGTTCCAACTTCCTCTGTGATTTCTTCCTTTACTTATTTGTTGTTTAAGGGTATGTTGTTTAATTTATACAGTTTTGTAAACTTTCTAACGTTTCTTCTGTTATTGATTTAATTTGAGATCTACTACACAGCCCATCGTGGGGAAATCCCCATGTGCATTTGAGAAGAGTGTGTAGTCTCTTTTGTTGGATGGAGTATATTGTATATATCTGTTAGATCAATTTGGTTCATTGAGTTATTCAAGAACTCTATTTCCTAATTTATCATCTATCTCATTTTTCTATTCATTACTCAGAGTGGAGTATTAACATCTTCAACTATTATTTTAGAACTGCCTTTTTGCCCTTTTAATTCTGTCAAGTTATGCTTTCTATATCTCAATGTTTTATTATTAGGTATGGGTTTAAACTATTTCTATCTTCCTGCCAAATGGACAATCTATGACTATATAATGTCTTATTGTCTCTTTTAAGTTTTTAAGTCTATTTTGTCTGCTATTAATATAGTCATTCCCAGTCTCTTTTTCATACTATTGGTATAAAATAATTATTTTCTTCCTTTTTTTTTATAACCCTCAAGTCCTGTGGAAGGCTAAGAGCAGCATTACTTAATTTAAAAAGCAGATAAATCTTAAATCCATAGTTTAATATTTCTAAAAGCATTTAAATGGAAATGAGCTACGCAGTCTACCAGGAACGAAGGATATCAGTTGGGTCTAAGAATAATCATGTCAAAAAGCTCTAGGAGGAAAAGCTGCTGGGAATTAAGACTGTGATAACGGTCTTTGGGATCAAGAAGGAAATGGGGAATTGGGGATGCTCAAGGTCAGGTACATGCTTAGCAAAAGACCCAGAAAACCCTAAGCTCTCACCTCTGCATTTTAAACTCTGCACAAGTAGAAAGTAGAGGCGCAAGGAGAGATGTAACTTTATGCTGATTGGTAAAGGCATGCTCCAACACACATACATAGATCTCAGGTGAAAAAATCAGATATTTATGTTTAGTGAGAGTTAAAAAATCTGGAGTCTTACTTTCCAATTAAGGTTTAGTGAAAATATTTGGGGAGATTTGCATTGATCAATTCATCCTGAGGTCAAGAAAATCTTGATTTTGGCATTTGGAGCCTCTAGTAAAGGACTAGCCTCCTCCCAGAGGTGTTCTTTGGGCTTTTGGACTCAGTGACACACTACTGGTTACACTGATTTGAAAGTCAGCTAAGAGCTTGCTGCAGAACTCCTGAGAAACTCAGTTTCACCCATAGAGGGCTAGAGCATCCCCAGCTGGTTGAAATTTTATACCTCCTTCTATCCTCTGAAGCAAAGATGCTGTCTCTGTGGGGCCCCCAATTTACTGAGTGTTTCCTATATGACTGGTCCTGGTTCATAGATGAGTCAGGGAAGGTGAAACCTCATGATGTCCACTGGGCCGCTGTGGCTGTTTAACCTGTGCCAGCCATACAGAACCTGACATGAGTGGTTGCTCCTCTCAAAGGTCAGAACTCAGGGTTTGGGATAATGGCACATATTCTATCTGTTTGGTTATCTACAATGGAAACTGTAGACTGTCTGAATGTCTTTTGGGCTGCAAACTGGAGACAATCTCAGATGCTGATCTAACTGGATCACTCATCTAGAAGTCCATGGTAAGGGTTTGTTTTCTAGAGAGTGACAACAATCAAGCTGCAGATTGAACCTAAATCTGTGTCTAACGCAGAGTCTAATACTGCAAACCAGACTTGGGGTTGCTGGTGAAAGTTGACCTATTTGTCTCATGGTTGAAGAATTCCTAGACCATACCAAGCAGAGTAACCAGAAGTGGACTTTTGGCCCACTTCTTGAGATATCAGTCACCACTCTTGACATCTTCAGCATAACAGTATGCTGACACCATCCATACCATGTGTCCCGTGAAGCTAATCTGTGCCATCTTTTAGGCTTTTGAGACCAATTGAGCTCTGACTTCGCGGCATTTTTCACCACACGTACTAAAACAAGCCAACTCTATGATGTTCCCTCCTTTTCCACACATGCTGGTTAGATAATTTGTTGATTAGGTATGGTTTATTTTCTCTTCCTGATTGCCTCCAAGATAAGGATGAAATGATTGGGAGATCTAGGAATCATCTAGGAATCTATTTCACAAACTTGGAATTTCGTGCTAATAATTCCTGGGTGAAATGTGACTTTCTTTCCCATAACTGCAATTCTAGGCAAGCCTGGCTTTTGTATCCTCTGAGTTGCATCTCAGCCTAGTAGCAGTTATGGGACTCCAACTTAGTTCCAGCTAAGTTTTATGTAAATATTCTTGTCTCTATTTTAACTGCCTCTAGTAGATAAAGTGTCTAGAAAAAAGTAGAGGGCGACTAGAATAAAGATGAGATTATAGGTACCGGAATGAGACACACTGATTCTGTGGAAGTAGTGGGAGAACAACCTGGAACCTGGGGTATGAACAACACAGACCTCGGAAGCTACGGGAAACGGTGGGACATTAACAACTTTTTTTCTTTCTGAACAACCCCTGGTGCAGCCCACAGAAAGGTCTGGAAATACTATTAGTTAGATCAGACGGTAAGGCAGAGGCTGTGGATTCATCTCCTTTTGGTCCCCACATTACTCTTAAGAATCCTTTGAGACTATTCTATCTCTCCGTGATGTAGGCATGGAACTCTAGTGGGCAGTGTGCACTCTCGGTGCCCATGGTTCCAGGCCACAGTTTTTCAGATGATGGACAACAATTGCTTTTTCCTGAAGAGACTTAGTACCCTGTGGCTGAGCTTAAGCGGGACTCTAGACAGCATTGATTGCATTTTCTTCTTCCTCTACGAACTGGGATTTCTCCTTCTGTTTTTCTACTGCCTAGAGGTGAATCTGTATTTGTCAATATTTAGGTAAATCAGAGACATAAATCAGGTAAGGAACCCTAGACACTGCTTCTAGGCTAGCTGGACTCTTGCCTATTTCCCTTCTCACTTTATGAGATCAATTATATTGGCACAGGTTGATACCCTTAGATAGTGTCTCTAAGGAGCAATTAGAGAAGCATACTTCTAGAGAAGCATACTTCTAGAGAAGCTGGTAGGACAGGGCAGGAGGGCCAATGAGGATCAAAGTTTCTGTCCAAATTTTTGAGCCTAGGTGTGTGTGGCCGACGAATCCAGGAAAGATCCCAGATCCCTGGAAGGGATTGTTAAGAGAGGATCCATTAGATTAGAATGCTAGGGTGGGTGTTCATCCGTCGCCTTCTGAGTGGGATTTTCAGGGTTAAGACTGAGGTAGGGCTGCAGAGAAATGCTATCCTGGGAAAGCCTCTGATCGAGTGCAACATAGGTGGCTCCAGCACAAGGAGAAGTCCTCTATTTGAGGAACACCATACTTGTGTGGATGTGTCTGTGCTCTTCCTCAGCAGAGCCCCACTGACTGAATGATTGTTTGAGAATTATGAGTAAAGAGCCCTATATTATTTTGAATTTAGTAAATATTGGAAGAGAAACAAACAATATTATCTACTTTCAAATTGAATAACAGCATGAGCAACTTCCAGGAAAATGTCACAGGAGGAAACTCCAGGGCCTTGCTCATCCCTGGAAACCTTGAAAATCCTGATGCAACCTGTAGGGTTAAACTTATCAATACTTAATTTTTTGCCATATAGATTTATCTTCATAAAAATATTTTCATTGGACCTTCATTTTGATATATGCCATGAAGAATAAATCATTTATTTCCTTTGTGATAAGAACATCACATTTTTACACCTCATGTATAAATGATGCCACCACCCATGTAGTTTTTATTGCTATGGCCTGAATGTTTATGTCCCCTTTCAAATTCATGTGTATAATTTTAGGCGTGAGGCCTTTGGGAAAGTGGTGAAGCCAAGAGTTCTTCATCTTCATGAATGGAATCAGTGCTCTTTCAAAGGAAGTTGAAGGGAATGCCCTTGTCCCATGTGCGAGATGGTACCATCTATGGGGAATAGGGCTCTCACCATATACGAAATTTGCTGCTGCCTTGATCTTGCACTTTCCAGACTCCATAACTGTGAAAAATACATTTCTCTTATTTATCCTTTACCCAGTCTAAGGTATTTTGTTATAGCAGCCAAGATGCACTATGACACTTTCTTAGACACTTTGGTTTATTTCTGAATTTTTAGTTTCAGTGATCCATGAGTTTTTTAATCAATCAAGATTTTACGCAGGGCTTGCCAGTGGGTTTTTTTTTTTTTTTTCAGAGTTTTCTTGTCTATTCTTGTTTGTGTTTTCATCTATATAACATTTTATAGTAACGTGTACTTGCAATATTTAATGGTATCAGTATAGGAACAAAATTGAATTTATAAATAACTATAAGGACAATTGATGTTGATAATATTGAGTTTTTCTGCCTAAGAATATGATACAAATTGTCTATTTGCTTATGTCTACATTCATATATTTCATAAACTTTCTATGTTTTTTCCATATTCCGTAGATATTTTTGTAATATTTATTCCTAGTTTATTCTGCTAAAAAGTAATTTGAGACACAATGAAATTGCAAAGTGTTTATTTGAGTAAGAGCAATTGATAAATTATAAAATATCAGACGGAAAGATATTGAGTGCTTCATTGACAGTGTAAGAAGCAAGTATTTATTTGAAAAATGTAGAAACAAAGAAATCATTTGGTGGTAGCACAACTTTTTTTATTGTTTTTTGTTTGTCTGTTTACCTTGTTGGACAGTTTCTATTTATATAAGGTTGTTGGCTACTTCTGACTGGTTGAGCTTCATTTCTCTTTTTTCAATATGCAGCTACAAGAAATAATGTAAGTTTTGTTTGTATTTGCAAATCAAGCGAGGTTGAGATCACTTATGAGACCTAACTAATTTTGTCTGCTCAGAGATTATTGAGACATGATCTCCATTTTAATTTCCTTTAACAAATTTTCTGTACTTTTACTTTCCATCCAAACAGTAACTTATAAATTATTATTGTTGTACATATGTAGGCCCATGTTGTGTATGCTTTGAAGACCTGTCCTGCATTCAAACTCATTTGTATTATGTTATTATTGAATTTGCCCCATTTATTGGAATTATAAACTGCAATCCCCCAACTACAAGAGGTATGAGCTCTGATGAGATAAGAGTAAAGATGAATCAGAAGTGAAAACCGTCCTCCAACCCACACATGCAGTAAAAACAAATTTCACATGAATACAATGAGTAATTATCTAAAATTTAAAGTACCCTGAAAACATTAATGTTTATCTCATTATTATGTAATATGGAAATTAAAAGGCAAAAAAATCCAAAGACTTACTGTTTAAATATAATTGAAGTTTTTTATATGATGAAGTGCTCCATAATTTAAATGTAAAAAACCAATAGGAAATATATGAAATAAAATAAAATTATACGTAAAAGTGACAATGCCTCTATTAGATTTAACAGTATCTTACAATAGAATAAGTTGAAACCTACAAAATGGAAGAAAGTTTAAAATTAGGCAGATATTATCAGCCTGGTGAAGAATAAATACATATGTCAATAAGCATTTAATGTATTTTGTCTTAGATTTTACATGAAATAATAAAAAGTAAGCAAACCAATAGCATGGTAGTTTCACCCTGATTGATTCAAACTGAAAAAATATTAACATTTCTCCATGAGAAGTTGGATTCATGGATTGGCCTCATGCTGCATTCAAGGCACTTTAGCCAGGATCCAACACTCATTGCCAAGAGTCAGCAGGCTAGAAGTTTGCTTTTAAGATGTTCCCCGGCCTGCGACCAAGACGCTTTTTCCTGACTACTTCTTCAACTCTGACATAGGTTTTGCTAATATAAACGCAAACCCGGCTCTATACCTACCAAGTATCTACTTGGCTAGAGCTGCAAATGGAGCATTTAGGCACTAGGCAAGAGCTCTTCCCACGTTTCCAAGCACACTTTCTAGAATTTCCCAAAACTACTGACATTGTCTTTCAGACCCCATCTCCCAAAGAGAATCAGAGAGATGGTCTGGAAGCCATTTAGAATCTCCAGCCTCCAACCTAGTAACAATGGACTTGGATACAAAGACGCAACCTACTGACCTCAAAGACACCAGCCCAGATTCTGGGCATTGAATTCCTGCCTCCCCATGAAAGATCTCAACTGAGTCACATCAAAACCCACACTCTTCTTCAAGGTTCACCTTCCAGACACGCTCCAAAACAGTCCCTCAGAATTGTCTTGAGATGAAACAAAAGGTGATGAAGGTCCAGGTTTGGAATGCCTGCCTCATTCTTCACTCCTGAAAAGTCTACACCTGCTGGTTAGCACTCTCATATGTTAGGGAGCCCGGGCTCTGAGTGCATCCTTTAACAGGACCTCCTGGCCTTTTCCTACTTGGAGTAGAGTGCCCAAGAATAATAGGGAATACAAGGCCTCCACTCTCACATGGCTTGATTGACTGATGAACTGATGTCGGAGGAGGAAACATATGTAGGGAACAGCCTGGGTCTTGTGAATCCGTTTCCCAGCTATGATGCCTGTGCAAATGGAGGGAGAATCGTCAAGTATTATTGGGTGGTAGACAGACACTGCCTAATAAAATTAAGTAAATGTAAGGTGACTTGAAGGGGAATTTATCATATGTCATATACAAAATTTTATTTGGTCAACTTTATTTAAAAACAGTCACAATTTGTAAGGGCATTCAAATATAATTTTAATAGGGAGCTATGAAAATTATCTGCACTTGCTATGTAAGTGATTGAGTTAGGGGTAACTATCTGAAGGTCATGAGCTTGATATCTGCTACTTAATTTCATAAGACATTTACTTGCAAATGGTTGCCATTTTTGCTCTCACTATATGAAAATTTTTTCTTGCAAAGAGCATTCCTATGAAAGAAAAACTAGAAATTTTGCCAATTTCGGCTATTAAAACAATAAAACTGGTTTGTTTGTTATTCTTAACCAAATGCTCCTACAGATGACACATAGTACCCATGCTTTGATTGTTTTTTGTTTTTTTTTTCACCTTAGGTCAATTGCCTTTCATTTTATTTATCAAACTGTATTTACTGTAGATAGACATTGCAGTTCTCATGTGCCCTATGGATTTGTACTTTCTTAGAAGTATGAATTCTCAGGCTGAGTATATTGGCTTATGCCTGTAATCCCAGCAATTTGGGAAGGCGAAGCAGGTGGATCACCTGAGGACAGGAGTTCAAGACTAGCATGGTCAACATGGTGAAACCCCATCTCTCTACTATTCACAGTTCACATTGTACCTTGCAATGAATATACATTTTATCCAAAAAGGCTAAAAAATAATGAAACTGGGGTGGGAATGGCTGGAAGTATAGGTGAAACAAAAATGACACATGACTAGCAGCTGTTAAATCTGGGTGACTGGTCTGTTATCTTTTTTTTGTATTATGTATACGTTTTTAATGTTCTGTAATAAAACACGTGTAGAAAATGACAAAGTTTATCTACACTTAGCTCTTAAGGTCTTGGTTACCTTTGGGAAGGAGAAAGTGTCAAGGGCATGAGCAAATCTGATTCTTACATACACAAGTGTATTTATTTAGTAATAATTCATCAAGCATTCCATAAATATTTTGTTCCTATATTGCTGTATGCAAGTTATTCATCAATAAATATTTAAATAGTACATATTTGCATAACAATCCTAAATTAATATTTTAGAATAATAGTAATGTTTTGTTTTGTTTTAAAGTGGGGCGTGTTCTCTCAGGACATCGTCAGGTGTATATTAATGTTCCAAGATATTTATTTACGTTTTAACTTTTGGAAGAGTCCCCTAGGTCTTTTAATTTTTACCTCAGTACAGTAAGTAGCATGGTTTTAACTTTTTGGATTGCAGCTTTGTTTTCAGAAAGGTTCTCCCCGAAGAATGATGCTCACCCAGGCCAGCGCACACAGCACAGTGACCCGTGCACAGGATGCACTGAGCACACACGGCACTGGGTGAACCATGAACAGAAGGAGAAGCCAGCCTGGGTCTGCAAAATATACTTTGCAGGAAAAGCAGGTAAAATTGAAAGGTCACAATTCAGCAGCAAACGTTTTTACATTCATTTGAGAAATCATTTCTAACAAAAGCTGCTCGTTAAAGCCATGGTTTTCTGGCTTGCCTACACATTGTAATCACCTGCACAACTTTCAACCGTATTTTTTTCAGATCCAGCTCCAAGGATTCTGATTTAGTTGTGCGGTTACAACTTGGGTTTAAGGGATTTTGAAAGTTTTCCTCCCCGCAGGTGATTCTCTTGCGCCAGGGGTAAGAAGCGCTGGATAGGGGTGAGGGATGCTTTAGCTGTGAGAGATAGCCATGTACGCTTCAGGATTTGCCCCATCACATATCTGGAGTTCAGGGTCTTAGAAAATATTCTTGCCCTGTTAAAAATTAAAGGATGGCTTCAATACAAATTTAGCTATTTGGCTACGTTACAGAAAAAGAAAATGCCTTTCCAGAGATCAGTTTTTTGAGTCAGAGTTTTGTTCTGTCAGTGAGGCTGGAGTGCAGTGGTGTGATCATGGCTCACTGCAGCCTTGACCTCCCAGGCTCAGGTGATCCTCCAGCTCCAGCCTTCTGAGTAGCTGGGACTGAAGGCATACACCAGGCATGGCTAATTTTTCAATTTTTTTTTTTGTTGTTGTTGTTGAGATGGCTTTCTCTATGCTGCATGGGCTAGTCTCAAACTCCTTGCCTCAAATGATCCTCCCACATCAGTCTCCCAAACATTTCAACCTACAGGCACAGGCAACCATGCCTGGTGTATTTATTAAAATGTAGCTACTAGAATATTTAAAATTCACATGTGCCTCACATATTATTTCTTAGAGAATTGCCTCATTTTTGAAATCTCAGGCTGCCTGCTCTAAAACCTGGATGTGCCAGGAAGTAAAAAATCTGAAATTTTAAAATAATTGTCATTATATTGCTTCCATGTATGAATAACACATATATATTTTTCATAAATACAAATAATCTTACACACAAATGAAAATGCAAGTATTTTACAGGCAGGGCCAGTGTCCAGTGCATGAAGGAAGCCCTGCCAGAAAAGGATCCAGGAAAAACCTATAATTCTTGCTTTATTCAATCCAGTGTCAAATCACATATGTCACTCATGGCCTGAGGGGGCTTGGTGGGGAATTGAACTATATCCAGTCACGGGTGCTGGAGTGGAAATTATCTAATCAGGTGCACAGCTGGAGAAGAATGGGCAGCTTTTTGGATCTAGGGATGCCTTTGCCTGTCTCTCCACTCAGAGGTCAGTACACTAGAGCCACCTCAATGCAATTGCCTGTTTTTTAGTTGTTTTAATGCTCCAAAAAAGAATTCATTTTCTCATGCATTTTCCAAATGTGTGGCAAGAAGAGCCTCAAATCTACCACCCTGTTACCCCAGCCTAACTCTTGCTTGCAGTCAGAGTTTAAATTTCCAGTTCTTTCCTGACACTTACCAACACTAACTAACCTTGTGTAACTCACAACATTATCAACTGTTCTTTATTGTACATTTTAGACATAGTATTTTAATTCTGCATTTTTTCAAAAAGCAGTGGATGGCACTTAAAAAAATATTTTTCATTTGTAAACATTTTACAGGACATGAAAGCAGATAATAATCCCCTGACAATCCACAGTAAAAAAAAAAAGAAAAGAAAAGAAAAGAAAATATTTGTGCCCCTTTCTTTAATCTTGCCTTGGCACAGACACCCCATCAGAATGTCTTTGGGTTGAGGTTTCATTTCAGAAACCTCACAGGGCAATACATCCTCAGCCATCCTGTGTTATTTTCTTGGTTTTGGGTTTCAAAACTGCTTGAGAATCCCCAAGATACCAACACTGGCCATGACTCTTGAAGTGTCTAGTAAATAGCATCCCTTGTGTCATCTCCTCTCAGGGAACAGCCCAAGGTATGGGAATGCAGCCTCTTTTTGGAGTGGTTGGATGCACTATACCTGGAAGGAATCTCCACGTATACCTTTGCGTTAAAAGCAAACCTCTTAGGACATTAAGAATTTCTTACCCCAACGCTTAGTTTCCATTCCTTAGAGACACATTGCAGGCCAGGCAACTGGATGCTGATATTGAGGAAAAAATGTCCTCAGATTGGTGAAGGGAGAGAAAATATTTCAAAGGATAAAGAAACCCAACCTAGTGAGGCAGTGCAAAAACCTGCAAAGTAAAATGCACCTTACAGACACAGTGGAGCAGAGCGTAGCAGCTCCTGGTAGGACGCTCATGACCCACATCACTGAACCAGATAGGAGCAGGGAAAATATCCCAAGTAATAGAACGGCTTGACTTGACCCTTGGGTCAGATATGTCTGTGTTTCAATCAGCATTGTCACCTTCTAATTTTGTCACCTTGAAAATATGATTGTATTTATTTTAACTTCACTTTTTCATTAACTGTAAATTATGTTTTATCAGTAGAGCTTCAAAGGTATGAGAATATTTATAAAGCACATTAAGTTGGTGAATTTTGAATAAAATTAAGTAGTAATATATTTCATTTGTTAAAAATTGTTACTTACCTATTTCTTCAGCAGAATGAGCGTAGCATGTCTCCCAGGTCTGTTTTTTATTTGTTTGAGAGGTGATTTCAAGCAGAATCTCACAGCTTACTGTTGGAAATGCTATCAGTTGTAAAGATAGGGATAGTATCTCTTCCACTACGGTGGTAGGAAATGAATACATATCTGCAAGCACATGAGGTAGATTAATTGTCAAATTACATAAATTTATCACATAAGTTATTCTTTTTTTCAAAAGAGAGAACTTGTGAAAGTGAATAACTCTATTCCATATGCTGCCATCTGGGTGTTTGAGGGTAATGTTAAGTTTTAGGAGCTGGGACTTTGCGCCTCCTGGAAGTGTTCACATATGATTAATTGTTTACTAAATGATTTGTTATGAACATAATTAAATTACATGTTTATTTTCTGAAAGGGATAGATACTTTGGCTTTTCTTGATGAATTATAAGATATAAGCCCCTTATAATGTTTTTATTTTATTTTATTCTGTTATTTTTTAGATGTAGTTTCACTCTTGTTGCCCAGACTGGAGTACAATGGCAAGACATCTGCTCACTGTAACCTCCACCTCCTGGTTTCAAGCGATTCTCCTGCCTCGGCCTCCCGAGTAGCTAGGATTACAGGCATACAACACCACACCTGGATAATTTTGTATTTTTAGTAGAGACGGGGTTTCTTCATGTTGGTCAGGCTGGTCTCAAACTCCTGATCTCAGGTCATCTGCCCACCTAGGCCTCCCAAAATGCAGGGATTACAGGCATGAGTCACAATGCCCGGCTGTAATTTCCTCTCTTTTATACCTTAGATTTGAATAATTTTTGCTGGATTCTTCAAACATGAAGTATTTTTTGAATTGAAAACTAACTGAATGACTAACTGGTAAGTAGAAGTCTTAGACCATCGACTAAAAGCTAAGGCCCACCTTGACCCAGCAAAAGAGGACCACTGAAGGCTCAGTTGATTATTCCTGGGTGTCTGCCCTGCAGGTGTCCAAGCCTACTCACACCAATCATGGAAGGAGCCTTTGTCACTGCCAGAAGATATAGAGCCTTGGTAAGCTGGAAGTTCACAGGCAGATGCAGTTGAGGTAGAGATAGAAGAAATGTTGGGAGATTCTTTTTAGAATGGAATTGTTATTGTCCTCAGACTGTTTCTAGACTTGGTCTAAGAAGTTACCTAAGAAGTATTGCAACAAAGAAAAAGTACAAATGATTAGATCTTTGAGTATCTCTAAGGTTAGGTGGAAAAAGGCCTTATTTCATAGGGAGGAGAAAACAAGTTTACAAAGAAGGTTGGAAAGGAAGCACAGGATGGAGGGTAGCAAAATGAGATCCCAGATAAGATAATGTTTCACCTTGAACTCAGCCTGTTCTTAGGAGGGTTACGTATAAATAAGGGTTGTAGGTTTGCTGAAGCTGTGGGTGAGTCAAAGTTCAGGGGCTGTTTGGAAGAAGAGAAACAAGCAAAGTTTCTGTAAAGAGTATGTTATTTTGACCACTGAAGACTAAATTACTGAATGGTTGTTCATTTTTAAAAATGGGAATTTGCAATCTGTGTCCATTTTTGTGATAGGTTAAAAAAACAGCAGGGAGCATCCTCAAAGTCATCACGGGAAGCACGTTTCTCTTCACTAAGCTGTTCTTTGAGAATGCAAAGAATGGGGGAATTTCTTTAAATATAGCTATTTCCAGGATTACCTTCACCCACAACTGTTCCTTGCCCTAGACATCTCTTCCATTTGGCTGTTTCTGAGTTATATTTTTATAATAAAGTAGTAAATATAATTACAGTTATTTGTTGAGGTTTTCTTTTTAGTAATTCTATCAAATTATTTAACTTGAAAAGGGGTTTATGCTAGTCTCAGATTTATAGGAGGTAGCTCAGAAGTGTAGATGGGTTTCAGGGATGTGTAACTCTCCTCTACAGTGAGAGAGGTGATGTGGGACTGAGCCCTGAATTTGTGGGGTCTGTGCGAACTCTAAGTTGTGTCAGAATTAAATTTTGGGGCAACAAATGGGTGTTGGAGAATCAGTGGGTTTTCAGGGAACTTTCCACATTTAGGATCAAAAACATAAAAAGAAAGACAATGTGGGGGCCTCTGCTGGAGAGAGACTCCAGGTGTCTCGGGGAAGGTAGGCTCTGCTCTGCACACAGGCTGCTACACCATGAACTGCCCTGTGGTTCCAGGCATCCTCCCATGGTAAGAAGGACCGACGACTCTGAGGGAAGAAGTTCTGAGAACAGATGCCTTCTACCCTCCTGCCAACCTGAGGCCACCACATGTTTTTCACCCACTGAACATACACACTGCATGTTGACGTGGTCAAGCCCCTCCCAGCACAGGGCTTCGGCATAAAGATTGTGGCCCATGCTACCTATCCTCATAGACTTTCCCACCAAAAACCCACACACGTGCCTACAAGACCCCTGGCATATGCTCTACCTCAGACACCGAATCTGCAGGGGCAACCTGGTTTTTTCACCATCCCAGGTTTCTGTGCCACCTGATCATAATCTCGTCTTCCTGCATGGACACAGAAATAAGTCAGAGTAAAGTTTCACCTGGGTCAGTATCTGTAGCATGAACCAGTCCTTCCACCAACCCTGTAATGTCTCCCAATTGTGGGTTCTTAATAGCACCTTCCCCTCTTTTACCTTTTAGTTCACCTCAAACCTTTTATTTACGTGCACTTAGTGTGTCCAAGCCACCCCTCAGTTGCCTGAATCCAGCACCTACTAAAATTCAGATGTCCAGTAGTTCAAGACCATGGGCCTAGGCCATGTTTTTGCAGAAGGAAATACATATTAGAAATGAGAGGCTCTATCCTCCCATTTGAAAATTAAAAAAGATATTTTTTCTTTTCCCTTTTCTTAAACAATGTAATTTAGAGAACTTTTTTTAGTAATTTTTTGAGATGGAATCTTACTCTTTTGCTTAGTCTGAAGTGCAATGGCATAATCATAGCTCACTATAACCTTAACTTCTTGGGTTTGAGCAGTCCTCCTGCCTCAACCTCTTAATTACCTAGGACTATAGGCATGCACCTCCAGGCCTGGCTAACTTTATTTATTTATTTATTTATTTATTTATTTATTTATTTATTTATTCAAGACAGTGTCTTGCTCTGTGGGTCAGGCTAGAGTGTAGTGGCATGATCTTAGCTCAATGCAACCTCCGCCTCCCAGGTTCAAGCAATTCTCTTGCTTCAACCTTTTGAGTAGCTGGCATTACAGGCGCACAGCACCATGCCTGGCTGATTTTTTATTGTTATTATTTTTAGGAGAGAAAGGGTTTCACCATTTTGGCCAGGCTGGTCTCGAACCCTGACCTCATTATCCACCTGCCTCCGACTCCCAAAGTGCTGGTATTACAAGCGTGAACCACCATGCCCAGCCATATTTATTTTATTTATTTTTTTATGGTGACAGAATTTCACCATGTTGCCTGTACTGGACTCAAACATTTGGCTTCAAGAGATCCTCCTGCCTTGGCCTCCCCAAATGTTGGGATTACAGGCATGAACAGCCGTGCCTGGCCTGGAAAACTTTTATATGTATCTTTTTTTCTCTGCTTCTTTGAAATATAAGCAAATCATTTTAACAGCTAAATAAGCCTTTTGCCACCTTCATGACACAGAATTGTCTTTGTCTAAGACCTGGAAACTATTGTTTTGTTTTTTAATTTGGCAAAGATTTATTGATTTTTTATTTTCAGTCTTTTGAAGTAGACACAGCTCAGTACAGTGGCTCATGTTTTTAATCCCAGTGCTTTGGGAGGCTGAGATGAGAGAATTGCTTGGGCCCAGGAGTTTGAGACCAGCCTGGGCTGCCTAATGAGTCTCCTTCTTTATAAAAAATTAAAATCAACTAGCAGGGCATGGTGGCACAGGAGGCTGAGGTGAGAGAATCATTTGAGCCCAAGAGTTTGAAGCTGCAATGAGCCATGATCACAGCACTCTACCACTGTACTCCAGCTTGGGTAACAGACGGAGACCCTGTCTCTAAATAAATAAGTAAATAAAAAAAAGTGTTTTTCCATACATAAAAATAAGTAAATAAACAGATAAATAAAATAGACATGGATTTGCTGAGAATAAAGCTAATTACAAGATAACAGAAAAGTGAGCACCAAAGATGGGGTTCACCCTAGCAAATGATTCCAGCCTATTAGGACACTCACAGAATTTTCCCTGCAGCATGACCGACATGAAAGTAGAATGTCATCATGTCAGGCTGTACCAGCGTTGGAAGACTAAACACTGTGGGGAAGAACCTCCCTTATGGAATATTATCAACAGGTGAGAGCCCAGCTCCTGCCCTGATGGGCTACAGAAATGAGTTCCTGAGATAACACATTGCAGAAACATGCATAGAGTAGTTTAACCTTTTTTGTGTGTAACCCTCTCACCATTTTCCTGCGAAATCCTCCCTAGTAATAGTGTTAGCTTTTAAGTTTTGAGGGTCCGATAGGACTGAAGCTGCATGCTGCAGGAGATACCTGGGGCCGGAAACTAATACAAACTGCAGCCACAGGCATAAATACTCATGGTCTAATGTAGAGTGAAAACAATACAAAATTCTTTATCGTTATTCGCACAAGTGTGTGAAGAGAGACTTTCCACATAACCAAATTGCCACTGAGACTAGTGAAGGCCAGATTCCACTGGAACAAGGCTATGAGTTACTCATGGGAAGGCCGTAGGACAAAGCCCAGAGATTTTTCATATTTGAGTCTGGGTCCTGGTTCTTTCCCGGTCTTCTCGGGTTTCTGTCTGTAGAGACCCCTATGTGGCTGCTCTCAGCACAGCCCAGTGCTGGCTGTGTTTGCTGGTTTAGTGCACCTGCTCTTTTTCCAAAAAGAGGGAGGAGTTGGCCACATTAAACTGAATGATGAAGCTCCTCATCAATCTGAATGCAGCTTTGTAAATGTGCCTAGAAACCACGCAAAGAAAAGTCTGTGTTCTGCCTTGCTTTGACCGTATGTGACACCTCCATTAGAAATTCTGCTTTTCTCTGCACTCCAGCCTGGGTAACAGAGTGAGACTTCATGATAAATAAAAAAGAAAGAGAGAGAGAAGGAAAGAAAGAAAGAAAGAGAGAGATGGAAAGAAAGAAAGAGAAAGAAAAAAAAGAAAGAAAGAAGAAAGAAAGAAAGAAAAGAAAAGAGAAAAGAAGAAAGGAAAAAAGAAAAAAGAAAATAAAAGAAATTCTGCTCTTCAGATAAGGCACATAAGGAGAATCTGTATAAATCTCCATGAAGGAAGGAAACCAGAGGACAAGTTAAAGTCTTGGAATTCACATCTGAGTACACAGACTCATTCTCCAACCCTCTTCTTTTTATTCTGCCAGCTATGGCCTAGGTATGAACATGACAGGTACACAAGAGTTCCAACACCCGACAATCTACTTCAGTCCAAGAAGAGTGCCCTCCCTCTTGCTCCCCATCCAACTCATGGTACTAAGAAGTGGTGTGGGACTGCCCAGATGAGTTGACAAGAGAGGCTGGCTTGGAGGGGCCTGTCCTGGGCTGCCCTGTGTTATTTGTAGGTGCACCCGGCCAATAGCCAGGGACATCAGTGATGAGGGCTCAGTTGACATCTGTGTTATCAGATAAGACTTTTACATTGAGCCTTTGTAAGGCTGAAACTCAGAAATTTCAGGGCACAATGAAAGAGCATCTCACTCTCTTGAGCAACTCTCACAAACAGAGGTGGATACAGAGCTGTCTCAAGAATGTGGATTCCTGGTTTCTTAACTGCTGTTGGGTTCTGACACCAAGAAAGTGTGTTAAACTCTTCAAGGTTCCATCTACTGGGCCCTATGTTTCTGTAAGACATACCGAAAGGCCCCACTATGCTACTGATTGCTCAGTCTCCTCTTCCATGTCAACTCTTTATTTGTACACAATTATGCAAACACAACTTCCCCTTAATTCCCTGGAAAGACCTAAATGCAACCTGGGTTCCAGGAGAGAAGAGACAGCTGGAACATAACTTTGTTTTTCTTACCATCTCTGGGACCCAGTAAAAGTCACTGTATTCAAGGCTTCCCCAGCCTCCTAACATGCACAGTGGTGATGATGCTAACATCTACTTCCTAGGGAATGTGTTAGGTGTATATAAGATAAGACAGTGGCCGGGCGCGGTGGCTCACGCCTGTAATCCCAGCACTTTGGGAGGCCGAGGCGGGTGGATCATGAGGTCAGGAGATCGAGACCATCCTGGCTAACAAGGTGAAACCCCGTCTCTACTAAAAATACAAAAAATTAGCCGGGTTCGGTGGCGGGCGCCTGTAGTCCCAGCTACTCGGGAGGCTGAGGCAGGAGAATGGCGTGAACCCGGGAAGCGGAGCTTGCCGTGAGCCGAGATTGCGCCACTGCAGTCCGCAGTCCGGCCTGGGCGACAGAGCGAGACTCCGTCTCAAAAAAAAAAAAAAAAAAAAAGATAAGACATAAAAATAATGATGTAGTGTCACCTGTAGATAATGCACACACTTAGAGATGGAAGCATTAGGAGAATAGGTGGGAGGTAGCATGGGCCACAACTCAAACAGGCCTGGTGTCTGCCAGGGTGATCTTGGAAATATCACTTCTCCACTGGGCCTCATTTTCATTCTGCTCCAGTATGAAGTTGAAATTAAATGTAGATACTGTCCTCTGGCATTCATATAGTTTAGCTGTGCGTCCCCACCCAAAACTCATTGTGTATTATAACCCCTAGGTGTTAAGGGAAAACCTGAGGGGAGATGATTGGATTATGGGGACGGGTTCTCCTCATGCTGTTCTTGTGATAGTGAGTTCTCACGAGATCTGATAGTTTCATAAGCATCTGGTACATCCCATGCTCTCACTCACTTCACTTGTCAGCCACTGTAATTGGAAGGTTTCTGAGGTGCCCCCACAATTATGTGGAAATGTGAGTCAATTAAACTTCTTTACTTTATAAGTTACCCAGTCTCAGGTACTCCATCATTGCAGTATGAGAATGATCTAATACAGGAATTCAACTTTCTAGTGCTTTCTCTTTATATTTAGAATCATTTCCATGTGCCTTATCACATCTATGACAGAGGAAGTCTTCACAAAGTCTCCCAGTACTAGGTATTGAGTGACTCAGTTTTTTATTGAATAAAATGGAATACTTCCTGATGCCAGTACTATGGCCCTTCGGTTTTGAGGAAAATATCATCTTGTATGTTGGCTAACAAGGAGATAGGAGTTCAAATCAAATTTGTTTTGTCATACTGGCTTTAAGGCAGTGATTAGAAAAGGCCTAATAGGTGGGTTCTGTAGGGGATTGCTGGAAGGAAAGTAGGAATATGGAAAGTCATGAGACATATACAGTCATCTCTTCTTGTTTCCTCACAGGTCACATACAAATTCAGGGAGAGTTAGTATGAAGCACACAATGGAAATTTGGGCTCCAAAGTCTGCAAACTGATGCTTCATGGACTTCAGTTGGCCATATTGGTTCCAACAATTTCAGCCAATGTTTAAAAAACTTATAGCAGTTAAAATTTTAGTGTTTCAACAAGCCGTTTCCTATCTTTCATTCTGAAGATCCATTTTTTAAGTCTTTTTTTTAACAGTATAGGGGGTACAAATTCAGCTTCTCTCCAATGAAACACAGAAAAGGATATCCCTTTTGTATTAGTTCAGGCTGCTATGCCAAAGAACCATAGATAGGCAGCATATAGACAACAGGACTTAATTTCTCATACCTCCAGAGGTTCAAATTTGAGATCAGGGTGTCAGCATGGTTGAGATCTGGTGATGACTGGCTTCTGAATTTCAGCCTGCACACTTCAGGTTTTACCCTCATTTTGCAGGAGGATGAGAGCCCTCTGCGGTTTCTTGTATAAAGCCAGTAATCTGTATTATGAGGGTCCCACCCTAAGGGGTTAATTACTTTCTACCTCCTTATAGCGTTACGCCCGGGGTTACAATTTTAACACAAATATAGAAGAAAAATTATAGTAACTCTCAAGTTTTTTTTCTTTCTTTCTTTCTTTCTTTTTTTTTTTTTTTTTTTTTTGAGACACAGTTTCACTCTTGTATCCCAGGCTGGAGTGCAGTGGTGTGATCTCGGCTTATTGGAACCTTTGCCTCCCAGGTTCAATTGATTCTCCTGCCTCAGTCTCCCAAGTAGCTGGGATTACAGGCATGCGCCACCACATCTGGCTCATTTTGTATTTTTAGAAGAGACGGTGGTTTCACCATGTTGTCCAGGTTGGTTTCAAACCCTTGACCTCAGGCGATCCACACGTCTCAGCATCCCAAAGTGCTGGGATTACAGGTGTGAGCCACCGCACCCTGTCAAGATGTTTTTAAAGCTCTAATTTTTCTCCTACTGGGTTTTTCTCGTTTGCGCCCTCGATCTTTCTGTCTCTTTTTGTGTAAACCTTTTTGTCTAATTCTGTCTATTGTATTCCTCAAACACAGGAAGCAAGCTCCAATGCTATGAGATGCTCCATGTAGAGACCCACATAACAAAGGGTGAGGGGGTGCTCAGACGAGTAGAGAGAAGGAAAGTCAGGCTCTCCAGCCACACTAAACCCTGTCAATTTTCACATGAGTCAGCTTAAAGGCTCATGCTTTCCCAGTCCAGCTTCAGTTAAGACCACAGCCCCCAGTCTCATAAAAGACCTGAAGGCAGAGGTAGCCAGCTGAACTGTGTCCAGATTCTGGTCCACACAAATTATGAGATATTATATGTTGTTGAAAAGTGCTGACTTTTAGGGCAATGTTGTCAGAAAGGAGCAGATATCTAACCTCATCTCCCAGGCCCTAGGATTCTCCATCCCTCTGCTTATCTCTTTCTCAGGCTGTCTGCAGCCAAACTAGTCCCTTTTTACCTCTGCCAAACTCACACCTATGAGTTTTTTCACTAAGGGTGGCTTCTCCCTGACACATGCTTGTGCAGATGCCTCCCTGCTGTCATCCTCATCATGGATTAAAAGTCACCTCAGTGACGCCTGAGTTCCTCCCATGCAATAATTTTCCAGGTTTTCTTCTCAATAATCTACTTTATATTATAGTCCTTGCTCTTTTCTTTCACATATACTTGCTTTAGTGCTTTTGTCCAGCGGTCCTCAGACTGTTTGGTCCTGGGTTGGGGGGTGCAGACATGATGTAATAATTTTCTGTACCACATGTTGGACCCACCAGGGTCACTGGCAAATGGTGAGCGCAAGGGAAAAAAGACTGGCTAAGTGATTATATGGAGGATCTCTAATATCCCTTCCCCTTTTGACCACCTGATAATGTGGACATCACTGATAACAACATGAGTTGTGTGACTGTTACTTGTTCCAGCTGCTCCAGCAAAGCTCAGTGGGCACCAGAAACACAGTAGGCTGTAACCACCTCCTGGCCATCACTAACCCTACAGCCCCAAGCAGGAGCACTACCGAACAAATCTGATACCTTGATTTTTCTGTCCTCAAGACACTGGTTCTTCAAGGTCCTAGGGGATAAAGTAGCAGGATCTGAAGGCCCCAAGTATAATGAGTGACCTAGGAATCCCGTTTTGCCCTCTCTTTGCCTCCACCTTTTTGGTTGTGCTATTTACTCATGAGGTATCCTCCCCTTATCCAGTGAAATTATTTTCTACCACTTTCAAATGAGGACCTTAAGAACGCAACAGTAGCTGAGATTTTCCGTGGACCTCAGCCTCAGAGTCCAGTGCTCTGGCACATTTAACTCTGTCTCATCTTCATCTACCCAAGATGCCTCTCAAGTGGCCATGCCTCCCTCTGATTTGAAGGATCTGCAGAGTGGGTGCATTTTTGCAGTCTCAGAGCAAGAATCCAGGCTGGCAGACACTTATGAGTATGTGAAATCATCAAGGTCACCCACTTCAGGCACCCCTATTTATGAGGAAGAAAACAGGCTTTCCTGTAGGCACTGTCTACATTAGGCTGAGGTGGAGCATAGCTCATTTTACTTCCAGTTGCCCTCAGAGCTGGATGCAGAACCCCAGTCCTGTTATCTTGAAACTGACATGGAGAGGACCCCATGTGAACAGAACCCTGAATCTGCTCATTTTCTGTGCTCCTGAATGTGTAGCTACAGACTCTAATTTCGAAAACAAACCTGATAAGTGGGACGGTGCCAAGGCCTAGGAAGCTGGAGCCCTCTCTAATGCTCTGGAGCCTGCCCACCTCCTGAGATCTGGACCAGTCTCTGCCTCTTCTGGGGCCTCAGTTTCCCAATTGTAATGTAATGAGAAATTAAATGTAAAACTGCATAAACATATGCTCTGTGAGAATTTGGTGTCAGAGTTCTCAATACTGGATGATAATTTGGAGTGGGGTGGGTTTGGGACCCATGGGTTCTCAGGCCTCCTTTCACACCCAGTGCAGTAGGTGTAGAGCTCTGGACAGCCAGGTGTTCTTTCCTGAGCCAGCTGATTACAACACAATGGACCAAGGGCTCTGATCTTAAATATGGTTTCACAGGATACCCCACCTTCAGCCACCACCTGCTCTGTGCTTCCCATATTTTGGGGAGCTGATGACAAACCCCATTATAGTGAAGAAGAGCAAGAAACTAGACTTGTGGGCCTGGGGAAAAGAAAAAAAACACTTCTATTTCTCCCAAACTGTAGAATCTCTTGTCAAATATTTAATTTTGATTATATCTGAGCTTGATAATACATTCATGTGTTAACAGCTGCTTAAATTTATTTTTTCTGTGAAGTGTGGGATAATGTCTTTGCCGTATTTTAAATCAAATTCTAAAAGCTCTCTTTAGAGTGGATAAGTGAGCATCTTTGTAATATAAACTTCACATATTTGTTGCCAGTTTGTTCTTTTTGTTTTTGTTAAAATGTTTTGTTTTATTCTGATTTGGATGTCTTTTGGGGTTTTGCTTTGTGGCTATTTATTATGACAGTGTAACTTCTCCTCTAATTGACTGACAGGTTTGTACATTCTCAATAAAATATTTTCATAAAATCTTTGTAAAAATTGTGTAGTCAATTTTACATTACATAAACATAAAACAGTAAAGACTATCATGATGAAAAAGAAAGATTGAGGGCTTAAAAAGTAAAATACGACACAACTAAAGTAGTCTGAAAGGGAAATTTACAGCACTAAATCCCCACAAGAGAAAGCAGAAAAATGTCTAAAATCGACACCGTAACATCACAATTAAAAAAACTAGGGAAGCAAGAGCAAACAAATTCAAAAACTAGCAGAAGACAAGATTTAAGATCAGAGCAGAACTGAAGGAGATAGAGACACAAAAAGCCCGTCCAAAATATCAATGAATCCAGGAGCTGGTTTTTTTAAAAGATCAAGAAAATAAATAAACTTCTAGCCAGACTAATAAGGAAGAAGAGAAGAATCAAATACATGCAATAGGAAATGATAAAGGGGATATAACCATTGATCCCACAGAAATAAAAAGTATCATTACAGAATATTATAAATACCTCTTTGCAAATTAACTAGAAAATCTAGATGAAATGGATAAATTCCTGGACACATATACCCTCCCAAGTGCAAACCAGTAGGAAGTCGAATCCTTGAATAGGCCAATAACAAGTTCTAAAATTGAGGCAGTAATTAGTAGCCTACCAACAAAAAGAAGTCCAGGACCAGACGGATTCACAGCCGAATTCTACCAAAGGTACAAAGAGGAGCTGGTACCATTCCTTCTGAAATTATTTCAAACAATAGAAAAAGAGGTACTCCTCCCTAATTCATTTTATGTGGCCAGCATCATCCTGAAACCAAAACCTGGCAAAGACACACCAGAAAAAGAAAATTTCAGGCCCATATCCCTGATGAATATCGATGCGAAAATCCTCAATAAAATACTGGCAAACCGAATCCAGCAGCACATCAAAAAGCTTATCCACCACGATCTAGTCAGCTTAATCCCTGGGATACAAAGCTGGTTCAACATATGCAAATCAATAAATAAAATCTATCACATAAACAGAACTAATGACAAAAACCACATGATTATCTCAATAGATGCAAAAAAGGCCTTCAATAAAATTCCACACCTCTTCATGGTAAAAACTCTCAATGAATTATGTATTGATGGAACCTATCTCAACATAATAAGAGTTATTTATGACAAATGCACAGCTAATATCATACTGAATGGGCAAAAACTGGAAGCATTCCCTTTGAAAACCTGCACAAGACAAGAACACCCTTTCTCCCCACTCCTATTCATTATAGTATTGGAAGTTCTGGCAATCAGCCAAAGAAAGAAAGAAATAAAGCGTATTCAGATAGGAAGAGAAGAAGTCAAATTGTCTTTGTTTGCAGATGACATGATTGTATATCTAGAAAACCCTACCATCTCAGCCCAAAATTTCCTTAAACTGATAAGCAACTTCAGCAAAGTCTCAGGATACAAAATCAATGTTCAAAAATCACAAGCATTCCTATACGCAATAATAGGCAAACAGAGAGCCAAATCATGTGTTAACTCTCATTCACAATTGCTACAAAGGGAATAAAATACCTAGGAATCCAACTTAAAAATGATGTAAAGGACCACTTCAAGGAGAACTACAAACCACTGCTCAAGGAAATGAAAGAGGACACAAACAAACGAAAACAATCCATGCTCATGGATAGGAAGAATCAATATTATGAAAATGGCCATATTGCCCAAAGTAATTTATAAATTCATTGCTATCCCCATCAAGCTCCCATTGACTTTCTTCACAGAATTAGAAAAAAAACTACTTCAAATTTCATATGGAATCAAAAAAGGTCTTGCATAGACAAGACAATACTAAGCAAAAAGAACAAAGGTGGAGGCATCATGCTAGCTGTCTTCAAACTATACTAAAAGGCCACAGTAACCAAGACAGGATGGTACTCGTACCAAAACAGATATATTGACAAATGGAACAGAACAGAGGCCTCAGAAATAACACTCAACATCTAGAATCATCTGATCTTTGATGAACCTGACAAAAACAAGTAATGGGGAAAGGATTCCCTATTTAATAAATGGTGTTGGAAAACTAGCTAGCCATATGCAAAAAACTGAAACTGGACTTCTTCCTTTCTCGTTATACAAAACATAACTGAAGATGGATTAAAGACTTAAACATAAGACTTAAAACCATAAAAACCCCAGAAGAAAACCAAGGCAGTACCATTCAGGACATAGGCATGGGCAAAGACTTCATGACTACAACACCAAAAACAATGGCAACAAAAGCCAAAATTGACAAACGAGATATAATTAAACTAAAGAGCTTCTGCACAACAAAAAAAACTATATCAGAGTGAACAGGCAACCTAAAGAATGGGAGAAAATTTCTGCAATCTATCCATCTGACAATGGGCTGATATGTAGAATCTACAAAGAACTTAAACAAATTTACAAGAAAAAAAGAAACAACAACATCGAAAATGGGCAAAGGATTTGAACAGACACTTCTCAAAAGGAGACATTTATGCAGCCAATAAACAAATGAAGAAAAGGACATCATCACTGGTTATTAGACACATGCAAATCAAAAACACAATGAGAAACCATCCCACACCTGTTAGAATGGTGATCATTAAAAAAATCAGGAAACAACAAAGGATGTGGAAAAATAGGAAGACTTATACACTGTTGGTGAGAGTGTAAATTAGTTCAACCAGTGTGGAAGACAGTGTGGTGATTCCTCAAGGATCCACAATGAGAAATACCATTTGACCCAGCAATCACATTACTGGGTATATACCCAAAGGATTATAAATTATTCTATTATAAAGATACATGCATACGTATGTTTATTATGGCACTGTTCACAAGAGCAAAAACTTTGAAACAAACCAAATGACCATCAATGATAGACTGAATAAAGAAAACTTGGCATGTCCACATCATGGAATACGATGCAGTCATAAAAAGGATGAGTTCATGTCCTTTGCAGGGACATGGATGAAGCTGGAAACCACCATTCTCAGCAAACTAACACAAGAGTAGAAAAGCTAACATCGCATGTTCTCACTCATAATAGGGAGTTAAACAAAGAGAACACACGGACACAGGAAGGGGAACATCACACACTGGAGCCTGTCGGGAAGTGGGGGACTATGGGAGGGATAGCATTAGAAGAAATATTCCTGGCCTAGGCCACTATTGCGATTTTCTAAATTTTGTTTCAAAAACATGATATGTTTCAAAAATTGTTATTGGTATGTAATTATATAAATATATAGTTCAGAAAAAAGAATCAACATTAATTATGCTTTTTCCAAAATACTTTATGGTTTTGAGCTCTTCTAGCAGTGACATTTTTGCTGTAGGTAATTGCTGTGTATCTGGTATATTCATCATAGCATACTTTGTGCCGTTTACACTTATCCTTCAATTTCCCACTCTCCTAAGTGTAAAAGTTCAAGGCCAGAGCTCCCATATCTTCCCAATATTACTTTTTGAAAAGAAGCTTCTATGTACTGTTTTCTCTGGGTCTTGATTGGATATATTGCTAAAAGAGCTGAAAAATAATAATTTTTTTAAAAATTCGGTGATGAGATTAAAGTAAATATATTTTATAAATCTAATGTACAAAATGAGGTCAGCTGAGAAGACAATGACAGTTGAAGCAGAACCTGAGATCCTGTTTCTCTCCATTGACATATGAACTTAACTACAATTGGGTGAACAAAGCCAGTTGAGTTTGTAGCACCCCACATGAGAAAAAAGCCAACCATAACCACATTTTGAAGAAAATTTGGTCACATTTGTGCACTACAGAACAGCGCAGTTAGATAAAAATCTGTCCATTCCATGATTCTCCTTTGGGAAAGAAAAAAGAGTGAAATGCGTATGCAAACTTCTGACTTACTGAGTTATACCGGGGTTATCTAAAGACTGGAAATTGCTTCCTTTAACATTTAGTGTTGATGAGAATAGAGACTGAGTTTAAATGACAGCTTGGGTCAACTGAGAATAAAGATAAATGCTTCTTACAACAACAGAGACTGTAGTGCCTACAACAGTGACGAAGGGAAGAGACTAAAGGCTCCTAAGAGGAAACAGAGGTAAACCTTATTAACAAGAAAATACATACAGTAGTCCAAAGAAGACACATTTTGACAACAGATTGGAGAAGCTCCCAGTATGACTACTGTGGCTGAATGTTGTCAATTTTCCCATGTATAAAGCTCTTTCATAAAGGATAAAATAGGTAGTGGTTTCTTAATTGATCAAAACCTTAACAAAACTACAGTAAGTAAAAGCAACCAGGAAATATAACTTAATCAAAGGAGAAAAATATATATTCAAGTGAACCTAAAGAAGTGGAGATCTAGGAATTATTTTTTTAACTTAAAATCTTTTTATTTTTCTTTACTTTTTCATTTTATGCAGAGGATCTTACTTTATCTCCTGGGACAGAGTACACTGGTGGAATCACAGCTCACTGTAACCTCAAATTTCGGAAGTCAAGCAGTCATGCCACCTATGTCTCCTGAGTAAATATGACCACAGTTGTGCACATTACCCCTCCTGTATAGTTTCTTTAAAAAAATTTGTACAAACAGTATGTTGCTGTGTTGCCTCGGCTGGTCTCAAACTCCTGGTCTCAGGCAATCCGACTGCTTCAGTCTGAAAGTGCTGGCACAAGCTACCATACCTGGAATTGTTTCTCTTTTAAGAAAAAATAGCTTTAAATCATTAATAGTAAAATAAAACAAAGAAAGGTATTGCGTAACGATAAAGGGTTCAATTCAACAAGAAGACTTAACTATCGTAAATGTAGATGCACCCAACTTTGGGGAACATAGAGTTATACAACAATTACTGCTAGACCGACAATAAGACTCAAGTAGACACACAATAATAGTAGGGGAATGTAACTCCCCACTAAGTGTTTGACAGATTATCTAGGCAGAAACTTAACAAAGAAATTCTGGAGTTTAATTCGACACTTGATCAAATGAAACTAATAGACATTTATAGTATATGCAACACATCATCTAAAGAAAGTAAATTCTTCTCATCTGCTCACAGAATATGACAGGCCACAATGGAACAAAGATAAAAATCAATACCAAGAAAATCTCACAAAATCACAGAATGATATTGAAATTAAACAACTTGCTCCTGAATGAATTTTGGATAAACAAAAAAATTAAGGCAGAAAATTAAAAAGATTTTGAAATAGAAGAGACACAATATAACAAAATGTCTGGGTTGTAGGAAGAGCTCTGTTAAGAGGAAAGTTGAGAGTGCTAAATACCTGCATCAAGAAGTTAGAATGATCTCAAACTAACAATTTAACATCACACTTAGAGAAACTAGAAAAATAAAAACTAACTTACCCCAAAGCTAGCAGAATGGCAAAAATATTCATAACCTATGAACCTGACAAAATCTAATACTCAGAATCTATAAGAAACTTAAAGAATTCACAAGGAAAAAATTACCCCATGAAAAAGTGGGCAATAACAGACACTCTTCAAAAGAACACATACAAGTGGCCAAATAACATGAAAAAAGCTTATCATCACTAACCATCAAGGAAATGTAAATAAAAACCACAATAAGACACCATTGTACACCAGTTAGAATGGTTTTTGTTAAAAAGTAAAATGATAATAGATGTTGATGGGGTTTTAGAGGGAAAAAACCACTTATACACTGTTAATAGGAATGTAAATTAGTTCAGCCACTGTGGAGAGCAGCTTGGAGATTTTCCAAATAACTGAGAGTTAAACTGTGATTCAACCCAGCAATTTCACCGCTGGGTATATACCCAAAAGAGAATAAACTATTCTACCAAAATAGCACATGCACTTGTTGGTTCATCACTACACTATTCATAAGAGGAAGGACCTGAATCAACCTACGTGCCTATTCATGGTAATTTTTTATTTTTTTGAGATGACGTCTCACTCTGTTGCCCAGGCTGGAGTGCAGTGGCACGATCTCAACTCACTACAATCTCCACTTCCCAGGTTCAAGCAATCCTCCTTCCTCAGCCACCCGAGTAGCTGGGACTATAGGCGCATGCCACCAAGCCTGGCTAACTTTTGTATTTCCAGTACAGACGGGGTTTCATTACGTTGTCCAGGATGGTCTCGATCTCCTGACCTCATGATCCACCCGCCTTGGCCTCCCACAGCACTGGGATTACAGGCATCAGCCACCATGTCCAGCCTATTGATGGTAAATTGAATTTAAAAAGTGTCACATGTACAGCAATACTACTTAGCAAAAACAAACAAAAAAAACCTCCTTTGCAGCAACGTTAACACAACAAAAGGCCATTATACAAAGCAAATTAATGCAGAAATGGAAAATGAAAATACTGCATATTCTCACTTATAAATGGAAATTAACACTGGGTACACATGGACAGAAAAACAAAAATAATAGACAACTCTTAGAGGGTGGAGAGAGGGAGGGACCAAGAACTGAAAAACTGTCTACTTAGTACTATGCTCACTACCTGATTGATGGAATTACTCATACTTCAAACCTCAGCATTATGCAAAATACCCATGTAAAAAACCTGTGTAGGTACCTCCTAAATCTAAAATAAATTTGAAATTCTAAAAAGAGGTCTTACTCTCTCACCCAGACAGGAATACAATACCATGATTATAGCTCAATGCAGCCTCAAGTTCCTGGGGAACTCAAGGAATAATCTTACGTCAGCCTCCAACTTCCTGAGACTACAGGAACATTCCACAATGCCTGAGTAATCTGTGAAAATATTTTTTACCAATAGCTTGTCACAATATTGCCCGGGGTAGTGTCAAACTCCTGGATTTAAGTAATTGACAGGGTTTGGCTCTGTGTCCCCAATCAAATCTCATCTTAAATTGTAATAATCCCCACATGTCCTGGGAGGGACCCTGTGGGAGGTAATTGAATCATGGGGGTGGGATCTTCCCATGCTGTTCTCATGATAACAAATAAGTCTCATGTGATCTGATGGTTTTATAAGTGGAGGTTCCCCTGAACGGTCTCTTGCTTGTTCCAATAATGGTGAGACCTCCCTAACCATGTGAAACTGAGAGGCCATTAAAACTTTTTTCATGATAAATTACATAGTCTTGTTTATGTCCTTATTATCAGCATGATAATGGATTAATACAGTAGCCCTCTTGCCTTAGCTTTCAAAGTAGCTGGAGTCACATGCACGTGTCACTGTGCCTGGCTAAAACACCTAGCTTAAAGATGCTCAGTCAGCTAAAGAAGAATATAGAAAACTAAACAGAAAAAGAAAACAATGCATGAAGATAATGAGATTATCAAAGAAGTGATTAAAAGTGCAAAATAGAAACAAAGTGTAGAGCTGAAAAGTAAAATACCTGAGTTTAGAGATTCACTAGAAAGTCCAACAACAGGTTTGATCTAGCAGGAAAAAATACAGCAAGCCTCATAAGAAGTCATTTGAAATTATAGGGTGAGGAGGCTAAAAATAATTTAAAAAATTAAGAGAGCCTAAGGGAATTATAGGATACCATTAAGATGGCCAATATACTCATAATGGGAATTCTAAAATAAAAAGAGAAAAGAGAGCAGCAAAATTATTTCAAGAAACAAACAGTGACAGAGAACTCAGAATTTGAGGGAGAAAATGACCTAAAATTTAATGAAACTTTACCAACTCTAACTAGTAACAACACAGGGAGACCCATGACAAGACACATTATAATCAGAGATTCAAAAGTTAAAACACCGAGAATCTTGAAGTCAGCAAGAAAAAAGTGACTTAGCATGTACAAGTTTACCCCTGCAGGATGACCAGCAGATGTCTCAGCAAAAAAACTTACAGGTAAGAGGTTGTAGGATGACATACTCAAAGTGCTGAAAAAATGGCAACTACCAGCCAAGAACACTATGTCTGCCAAAACTATCATTTCAAATGAATTAAAAAATAAAAATAAAGAATATTCAAGATCAACAAAAACTGTATAAATTTATACCCACTAGGCCTGTCTTAAAAAATGCTAAATAGTCATTCACATTAAAAAATGAAATAATGATGAGAGCAACACAAAATTATGTAAAATATGACATTTTCTAATAGAGAAAATTATGTACACAATCATAATATTCTTTGTAATTATAATGAAGATGCACAGAATACTTTAATTCTGCTATATATTTGAGACAACAAAGATTTAAAAATGACTATAAATCTGTGCCAACAGATTCACAACACAAAATGATATAATTTGTGACATCAATAAAACACATAGGGAGCCATAAAGAGGCAGGGTTTTATATGTAATAGTAGTTATTCTTGGTAATATCTATAGTAACAACAAAGAAAATACCTACAGTTCTTAGGATTTTGAGACTAGTCTGGGTAACATGGAAAAACCCTGTCTCTATGCAAAATAACAACTGTTAGCCAGGAGTAGTGGTGCACATCTGTGGTCCCAGGTACTCAGAAGGCTGTGGTGGGAGGATTGTTTGAGTTGAGCCTGAGAGGCAGAGCTTGAGTAAGCAGAGATTGTGCCACTGCACTCCAGCCTGGGTGACAGAGCAAGACCCTGTCAAAAAAAAAAAGGAAATACCTATAGTACACACACAGAAAGACATACACACACAGAGAGTAGTGAGAAAAGAATTAAAACATGTCACTACAAAAATCAATAGTACACTAAGAAAGAGAACAAGAGAGAAAAACAGGAACGAAATAGCTACAGGACCGGCCAGGGGCGGTGGCTCACGCTTGTAATCCTAGCAATTTGGGAGGCCGAGGTGGGTGGATCAACGAGGTCAGGAGATCGAGCCCATCCTGGCTAACACGGTGAAACCACGTCTCTACCAAAAAAAAAAAAAAAAAAAAAAAAAAAATAGCCGGGCGTGGTGGCAGGCTCCGGCAATCCCAGCTGCTGGGGAATCTGAGACAGGAGAATGGCATGAACCCGGGAGGCGGAGCTTACTTTGAGCCAAGATCTCACCACTGCACTCCAACCTGGGCGACAGAGAGAGACTCCGTCTCAAAAAAAAAAAAAAAAATGCTGCAGGACCTAAAACAAAAAAGAAACAAAATGCAATACGAAATCATTCCCTTTTAGTAATTTTTTTTATATAAATCAATTATGTCAATCAAAAACATACTTTCACTAAATAAATTCATGAAACAAGATTCAACTCTCTGCTTCCTACAAATAACCAAATTATGATCTGGAACACATATAACCTGTACATGAAAGAATAATAAAAAATATTAAATGCAAAATCAAATACTGTCATGGTAGACAAAATACATATTATATCAAAAACTTCCTCAAGAGACAAGAGGAAAAGGACAATAAAAACAACAACAATAAAAGCAACAACAATAAAGCAACATACAACAATAAAAGCAAAAACATTAAAACAACATACAACAATAAAAGCAACAACAGTAACGCATGTGCCTTACATCACAGTTCCCAAACATATGAAGCAACATTTTACAGAATTGAAACATGAAGTAGCCAGCACCTGATAACAGTAAATGACTTTTATATCTGACTTTTAGTAATGTAAATTAAAAAACAAACATAAGATGGATAAGTAAACAGAGGATTTCAACAACACGATAGGACAATTAGACCTAACAGTCACATTTATATTTCTCCACTCAACAGTAGAATCTGCAATACTTTTAATCACACATGCCACAATATTCCAGATAGACCACCTGTTAAGTTAAAAGATGAATCTTAGCAAATTTAAGCAGATGGAATTACAAAATTATTGCTAACTATGATACAATAAAACAAGAAGTTAAAAACACTAGCATGTCAAAGAATAAGTAAAAATTAAACAACAAATTCTCAAACACACTCTTGTTCAAGAGGTTATAGACTTAATATTGTTAACATGTCACTACTACCGAAAGTGGTTAACTGATTCAATGCTCTTTCTTTTCTTTTCTTTCTTTTTATCTTGAGATGGGTTTTTGCTCTTGTTGCCCAGGGTGGAGTGCAATGGTGTGATCTCAGTTCACTGCAACCTCCACCTCCTGGGTTCAAGCCATTCTCCTGCCTCAGCCTCCTGAGTAGCTGGGATTACAGGCAAGTGCCACCAAACCTGGCTAATTTTGTATTTTTAGTAGAGATGGGGTTTCTCCATGGCTGGTCTCGAACTCCTGACCTCAGGTGATCCACCTTCCTCAGCCTCCCAAAGTGCTGGGATTACAGGCATGAGCCACCACCCCTAGTTGATTCAATATACTTTCTATCAAAATACCAATGAAACTTTTTGCAGAAGTTTTAAAATATTCTATAATTTTTATGGAATTTCAAGTGATTGCAAACAGCCAAATAATATTGGGAAAAAAATATAAAGATAGAGGCATCATACTTTCTAATTTCAAAACATACTATAAAGGTATAGTAATCAAAACTGTTTGGTACTGACAGAAAGACAAATGAATGATGAAACAGATGAGTGTTCGGACATAAGACATCATGGGTTTAGTAAACTTATTTTTAAAAACTGTTCCAAGAATTCACAATAAGGAAAGAACAGTCTCTTCAACAAACAGTATTGAGAATAATAAAAATTTACAAGGAAAAAATAACAAAGTTACACCTTACCTTGCACCAATAAAAACATAAACTCAAGGCCGGGTGTGGTGGCTCACACCTGTAATCCCAGCACTTTGGGAGGCTGAGGCAAGTGAATCACAAGGTCAGGAGATCAAGACCATCCTAGCCAACATGGGGAAACCACGTCTCTACTAAAAATACAAACAAAAATTAGTTGGCGGTGGTGGCACACGCCTATAGTTCCAGCCACTCAGGAGGCTGAGGCAGGAGAATCTCTGGAACCCGGGAGGCAAGAGTTTCAGTGAGCGGAGATCACACCACTGTGCTTCAGCCTGGTGACAGAGAAAGACTCCACCTCATATAAAGAAATAAACTCAAAATAACTAATTTTTGTTAGTTATTAAAATGGAATTTTAAACTTTATTTTTCAGATATTTTGCTATCAGCATACAGAAAGCTGCTACTCTGTTGATTTTCTGCAATGTTACAGAATTTGTTTAGTAGTTCTATTAGGTTTTGGTGTAGTGTTTAGAGTTTTTCACATATAAGATTATTTTGTCCACAATCAGAGACCATTTGACTTCATCCTTTCCTATTAGTATGAGTTTATTTCTACCTCTTGCATAATGTCCTTGGCTAAGACTTCCAGTACTATGTTGAATAAGAGGTCTGAAAGTGGGGATGATTAGTCTTGTTCCGGATCTCAGAGAGAAAGCTTTCAGCTTTTCCTTATTCAGTATAATGTTAGCATTGCTTTGTCATAAATGGCCTTTATTGTGTTGAGAAACATAACTTCTATTCCTAATTTGTTGAGAGTTTTCATCATAATGAATGTTGAATTTCATCCAACGTTTCTTCTGCATAAGCAAAAGGTACAAAAATTAAAATACTTAATGTGATGGTTAATACTGGCTGTCAAATTGATTGGATTGGAGGATAGAAAGCATTGATCCTGGGTGTGCCTGTGAGGGTGTTGACAAACGAGATTAACATTTGAGTCAATGGGCTGGGAAAGGGAGGCCCACTCTTAATTGGGTGAGCGCCATCTAATAAGCTGCCAATGAATATAAAGCAGGCAGGAAAACGTAAAAAGGAGAGACTGGCCTAAGCTCCCAGTCTACATCTTTCTCCTGTGCTGGACGTTTCCAGCCCTCAAACACCAGACTCCAAGTTCTTCAGCTTTGGGACGTGGACTGCCTCTCCTTGCTCCTAAAACTTGCAGACAACCTATTGTGAGATCTTGTGATCTCTCTAGGGAGCCCGACTAATACACCTAGCAACAAACTTAACTTAAAAGGTACAAGATCTCTACTCTGAAAATGACAAAACATGGATAAAAAATATAAAATACAAATGAATAAATGAAAAAATCTTGTGTTTATACACTGGAAGAATACTGTTAATTACCCAAAGTGATCTAGAGACTAACGTGATTTTTATCAAAATATCAATGACATTTTTTCACAGAAATAGAAAAAATATTTTAAATTTATGTGGATCCACAAAAAACTCTGAATAGACAAATAACTTTGAGCAAAATAAGCAAAGCTAAAGGCATCACTTTATCAAACTTCAAAACTTGCTACAAAGCTATAGTAACCAAAACAGCACTGTACTGGCATAAAAACAAACACATAGACTAATGTGCCCAAGAAGCCCAGAAGTTAGTTTATGCACCTAAAGCCAACTGATTGTCAACAAAATTGCCAAGAACACACTTTAGGGAAAAGCTAATTTCTTCAATAAATGATGCAGGGCCATTTAAATATTTAAATTCAGAAAAATTATACTAGACCCCTGTGCCTTGCCATATATGAAAATCAATTCAAACTAAAGACTTAAATGTAATGCTATCAATTATGAAACTATTAGAGAAAAACTAAAAAATGCTTTATAACATTCGACGGGGAAAGGATTATTAAAATAACATGTCAAAACATAGGCAACAAAATCAAAAATAAGCAAACAACATTATGTCAAACTAAAATGCTTTTCCATATTAAAAAAACTAAAAGATTGAAGAGACAGCTTAGGCAATAAAAGAAAATGCTTTCAGGCTATACATATGACAAAAGGCTAATATTCAGAATAAATAAGAAACTTTAAAATCTCAAAATAAAATACACTTATAATCTAATTAAAAAATGCAAAACATCTTAATAGATGTTTGTCAAAAAGTGATACAAAAATGGCTAACTGGAACATAAAAATATGTTCTACATTACTAATCACTAAGGAAATGAAAATCCAAACCACAATGAGGTACCGCCTCACTCCCATTTAGAATGGCTATAATAAAAATAAATAAATAAATAAAACAAGTACTAATGAGGATATAAAATGAGTGAATGTATACATTGTTGGTGGAATTGTAAATTAGTATGGCCACTATAGAAAATACTATGGAGGTTTCTGAAAGAAATTAAAAATAGATGTATTACATGATCCAGCAATTTTACTCCTGCATGTATATACAAAAGAAAGGATATCACTGTGTCAAAAAGATATTTGCATTTCCATGTTAGTTACAGAACTAGTTATAATAGCTTATATATGGAATCAATTCAAATGTACAGCAACAGATAAATGGATAAGGAAAATGTACTATATATGCACAGTGAAATACTATTCAGCTATAAGAAAGGATAAAATTCTGTCAGTTAAAAGAGCATGGATGAACCTTGAGCATACCATGTTAAGTAAAATAAGCCACATAGAGAAACACAAATACTTTATGATCTTATTATCTCACTCATTTGAGGAACCTGAAAAAAAGGGTTGATATAAGCAAAGAGTACAACAGGGGTTCCCAGAGACTGAAGCAGGGAGATGGGAAAAGGCAGCTTCAAAAGTATTGTGTTACAATTAGATAGGAGAAATAAGTTTTTGTTTTTTGTTACACGGCAGAATAATAATAATTAATGAAAAGTTATCTCAAATTACAAAATAGCTAAAAGAGACCAGTTGTGGTGGCACATTCCTGCCATCCATACATTTTGGGAGAATGAGGTAGGAGAATCACTTGACGTCAGAAGTTCAAGATGAGCCTGGACAACATAGTGTGACCCTGTCTCTATGAAAAATTAAAACATTATCCAGGCATGGAGGCAGGTTCCTGTAGTCTCAGCTAATTGGGAAGCTGAGGTTAGAAGATTGTTTGAGGTTACAGTGAGCTAGGATTGCACCACTGCACTCCAATCTGTGTGTTAGAGCAAGATCCTGTCTCTAAAAAAAGTTAATATATAAAGATATAAAAAAATAGCTAGAGAAGAAGCTTTTGAATGTTCTCACCACAAAAATAACAAATGTATGAGGCAATAATTACACTAAGTACTCTGATTTTTATTGCTATACAACATATATACATAATTGTTTCCCCAAAATTTGTACAATTACATGTGTCAATTTTAAAATATGAAGACTATAATGTAAAATCTATAGCTGTAAAATTCCTAGCACAATACAGAAGGGTGAAGCTTCATGACAATTGGTCTCGGCAATAATTTGGGGGATGTAACATCAACGAATCAGACAACAAAAGCAAGGGAATACACATGGTACTAAATCAGTGTGTGAAAAATATCCCAAACAGGCAAAGCAGAACATGGAATAGATATATGCACATTTATGTACACTGTAGCATTACTCACAAACATACTACCTGGAAGCAAATGTACCTTTAAGGATGAGTAGATTCAACAAACAGGGCACGTATATTCACTGGGATAGCATTCAGCCTTAAAAATAAGGAAATCTTGAAAAGTACTACAATAAGGACAAATCTCGAAAACATTCTGTTAAGTAAAACAAGACAGTCAAAAAGGAAAACTGTATAATTACACCTATGTAAAATATTTAGTCAAACTCAAAGAAACCAAGTGTTGTAGTCTCAGCAGTGCACCAAGATGTAACAGTCTCTCATAGTCTGAGATAGCATCGAAAGTTCTTTGTTCTACTTCTAGGGAGATTAAGGAGCGTGAACACAAAGGTGAGGTTAGAGTGAAAGTTTGATAAGCAAGAGAAGAAAGCTCTTTGCCAGCAGAGATAGTTTCTGAATGGGGTGACCTCTGTGAGGCTGGGGCCCAAGGTTTTTATGGACTGGGAAAGGAAGAGAAGGAAATGTGCTTAGTTCACAGGCTGTCTTGAAAAAAGTGTGGCTCAGCTTGGCCCAGGACTTTGGCCCGGGACCAATCAGGAGCTGAAGGATGATTCATACATGCTATTTAGATTGGCCCAGGACTTATCAGAAGCCAAAGTGAAAGCTTGGCGCAGGAGCTTGTCCCGGGAGCAATCAGGGGCTGAAGTAATTATTCACAGAGGTCAGACTTACAGTCCAAATAAAGGAGAGTGTCGACCGGAATGCACCAGAGCCCACTGTGCTTATGCCCACAGAAGGAGAAGAAACATTTTCCTGGGAGCGCACTGACTGCACAAAGTACAAAGGCGTTTCTTTTTTTCTTTTTCTTTTCTTTCTTTCTTTCATTTTTTTTTGAGATGTACTTTCTTATTATTTATTTATTTATTTATTTATTTATTTATTTATTTATTTATTTATTTTGAGACGTAGTTTTGCTCTTGTTGCCCAGGCTGGAGTGCAGTGGTGCGATCTCGGCCCACAGCAAACTCCGCCACCTGGATGTAAGTGATTCTCCTGCCTCAGCCTCCCAAGTAGCTGGGATTACAGGCATGAGGCGCCATGCCCGGCTAATTTTGTATTTTTAGTAGAGACAGGGTTTCTCCATGTTGGTCATGCTGGTCTCGAACTCCCGACCTCAGGTGATCCGTCCACTTCCGCCCAAATTGCTGGAATTACGGGCATGAGCCACCATGCCTGGCCAAACAAAGGCAATTCTATGCCAGGTCGGTCTTGTTCCCTTATCTCAGTGAGCTGGAGGTTTGTACCAGTTTTTATCCAAATGGGCCAGAGGTTTTTCTGTCTGGGCAGCCATGGGCAGGTCTCCAAGCACAACACCATGTGCTAGTTACCTTGTTAGTGTCTGCAGCTTGATTTTTTCCAGGATTCCTTTTATGTTATGCAGGGATGAGATACTGACCCAAGGGCCAGGGACTTTCCAGGGACCCTTCTCTTGCTATCTAACTAAAGCAAGCTAACTAACTTGTTTCAGAATTAATGAGTATTCACTTTTAATTTTGTAAGACAAAAATTATCTAAAACCTATTGCAAAAAAAATAGAACTATACTTACCACTTCTAAACCATATACTTAAAATGTTAGAAATGAAAATGGCATGTTTTTAACTACAATTAGAAATTTAGGACTACCTAAAAGGCACGGTTACAAAATCTTCAAACATCCCCTTCAAATAACAAAGGGTTCTTCTCACATAATTTTTTAGATTTAAACTATAAGTTGATTGTAAATTTAAGATTATTTCCCTGACTACTCACCAAGATAGAATAAAATAATCACTAGAAACCAAGAAAAGAGGAAAATTTATAGCACTAATGTCCACATCAAAAAGCTAGAAAGGGCCAGTCATGGTGGCTCATGCCTGTAATTCCAGCACTTTGGGAGGCTGGGGTAGGCAGATCACTTGAGACCAGGTGTTCAGGACCAGCCTGACCAACAGCAAAACCATATCTCTACAAAAAAATACAAAAATTAGCTAGGTGTGGTGATTCACATCTGTAATCCCAGCTACTCAGGAGGCTGAGACAGCAGAAGTGACTTAAAACCGAGAAGAGGAGGTTGCAGTGAGCCGAGATTATGCCACTGTACTCCAGTCTGGGTGACAGAGTGAAACTCTCCCACAAGAAAAAAAAAAAATTAGAAAGATCTGAAGTTAACAGCCTAACATCTTGATTAAAAGAACAAGAAAACCAAGTGAAAACAAACCTGAAAGCTAGCAGAAAACAAGAAATAGCCAAGATCAGAGTAGAGCTGAAGGAGATAGAGACACTGAGAACTCTTCCAAAAAAAAAAAAAAAAAAAAAAAAAAACTCAACCAATCCAGGAGCTGTTTTTATGAAAAAAAAAAAAAAAAATTAATAAACTAGATGGAACACTAGTTAGGCAAATAAATAAGAAAAGAAAGAACCAAACACAAATAGAAATAATAAGGGAGATATCATCACTGATCCCATGGAAATAAGAACAATGATCAGAGAATACTATAAACACCTCTATGCTCATAAACCAGAAAATCTAGAAGAAATGGACAATTTCCTTGCAAAATAAACTCTCCACAAGACTGAACCCTGAATAGATCAATAATGTGTTCTGAAATTGAGGCAGTAAGAACTAGCCTACCAAGCAAGCTGAATTTGACTTGAGGTAAAGAGGAGATAGTACATTTTCTCCTAAAACTATCCAAAAAAAATTGAAGACAAAGAAGTTCTGTCTAACTCATTCTATCAGGCCAGCATCATCCTGATACCAAAACCTAACATAGATACAACAACAACAACAACAACACATCATGCCAATGTCTTTGATGAACACTGTGCAAACATCCTCAATAAAATACTGGCAAACCAAACCCAGCAGCACATTAAAAAGTGCATCCACCACAATGGAATTGGCTTTGTCCCCAGGATGCAAGGTTGATTCAACATATGCAAATCAACAAATGTGACTCATCACATAAAGAAAACTAAATAAAAAAAACACATGATTACCTCAATAGATGCAGAAAAAGCACCCAATAAAATTCAACATTCCTTCACGTTTAAAATTCTCAATAAACTAGGAACTGAAGAAACATACCTCAAAATAAGAAGAGCCATATACAACAAACCCACAGCCAATATCATACTGAATGTGCAAAAGCTGGAAACATTCCCCCTGAAAACCGGCACAAGAAAAGTATGCTCTCTCTCACCACTCGCATTACAACTCCCATTCGGAAAACTTGTCCAGGAAAATCAGGCCAGAGGAAGAAATAAACAGTATTCAAATAGAAAGAGAGAAAGTCAAATTATCTTTGTTTACAGATGACCTGACCCTATATCTAGAAAGCCTCTTCGTCTCAGCCCCAAAGCTTCTTAAGGTGATAAGCAGCAGTAGCAAAATCTCAGGATATAAAATCAATCTGCAAAAGTAGCTAGCATTCCCATACACAAGCAACAGGCAAGCAGGGAGACAAATCATGAATGAACTTTCATTCACATTTGCTATAAAGAGAAAAAAATACCAAGGAATACAGCTAAGAAGGAAAGTGAAGGATATCTTCAAGGAGAACTACAAACAACTACTCAGAGGAATCAGAGTGGACACAAAACAAATGGAGAAACATTCCATGCTCACGGAGAGAAAGAATCAGTACCACGAATATGAGCATATTGCCCTAAGTAATTTATAGATTCAATGCTGTTCCCATTGAACTACTGACATTCTTCAGATAATTAGAAAAAAAAAACTTTTTAAAATTAAAATGGAACCAAAAAAGAGCCCAAATAGCCAAGCCAACCTTAAGAAAAAAAAAAAAAAAAAAGCTGAAAGGGTCATTGCCTAACTTCAAACTGTACTAGAAGAGTACAGTAACAAAAACAGCATGGTACTGGTATAGAAACAGACACATAGACAAATGAAACAAAATAGAGAGCATAGAAATAAAGCCAAAAACCTACAACAAACTGATCTTTGACAAAGTCAACAAAAACAAGGAATTAGGGAAAAGTCTCCCTATTCAATAAATAGTGCTAGGATAACTGGCTAGTCATGTGCAGAGAATTAAGACTGGAACCCTTCCTAACACCATAGACAAAAATTGACTCAAGATGGATTAAAGACTTGAATGTAAAACCCAAAACTATAAAAACCTTAGAAGAAAAAATCTAGAAAATACCATTCAGGATATAGTCATGAGGAAAGATTTGATGACAAAAAGACCAAAAGAAATAGCAACAAAAGCAAAAATTGACTAATGGGGTCTAATTAAACTAAAGAGATTCCACAGAGCCAAAGAAGCTATCATCAGAGCAGAGAAGCTAGAGAATGGGAGAAAAATTTTGCAACCTATTCATCTGACAAATATCTAATACCCAGAATCTATGAGGGACTTAAAATTTACAAGAGAAAAACAAACAACCCCATTAAAAAGTGGTCAAAGGACATGAACAGACATATCTCAAAAGAAGACATACATGTGCCCAACAAACATGGAAAGCTCAACATCACTGATAAGTGGATAAATACACATCAAAACAACAATGAGATACCATCTCACACCAATTACAATGTCTATTAATAAAAAGTAAAAAAGAAATAAAAACAGATGCTGGTGAGGTTGTGGAGAAAAGGGAACACTTTTACACTGTTGGTGGGATTGTAAATTATTTCAAGCATTGTGGAAGAGAGTGTGGAGATTCCTCAAAGACCTAGAAGCAGAAATACCATTTGACCCAGCAATACTATTACTGGGCATACACCCAAAGGAATATAAATCTATTTTAAATAAACATGTATACATATGTTCATTGCAGCAATATTTACAATAGCAACGTCATGTAATCAATCTACATGCCCATCAATGATATACTGGATAAAGAAAATGTGGTACACATACACCATGGAACACTATGAAGCCATAAAATGTAATGAGATGATGTCCTTTGCAGGGACATGGTTGGAATTTGAAGCCACTACTCCCAGCAAACTAATGCAGGAACAGAAAACCAAACACCACCTATTATTATTCTAACTTATTAGCAGAAGCAGATCAATGAGAACACATGGACACATCAGGAAGAACAACACACACTGGACACCTGTTTCATGGCATGGGGGAGGGGAAGGAGAGCAGCAGGAAGAATAGCTGCGGATGCTGGGCTTAGTACCTGGGTGATGAGATGATCTGTGCAGTAAAGCACAATGGCACACGTTTATCTATGTAAGAGACCTGCATATCCTGCACATGGACCCCTAAACTTAAAATAAAAGTTGAAAAAAAAGCTTATCACATATGGACCACTGAACTTAAAATAAAACTTGAAAAAACATGAGTATGAGGTGGATTCCCTAGGTTAGACCCAAACTGAGGATCCTGAAGCTCCTGCTGGGGGATTTGGGGCTGGGGGCACCCTGGGGAGCTGCTGCCAAGGCCATCCACCGTCCATACAGGCCGCCTCCCTTCCCGGCCTGTGATGGAAAGGAGAAGGGGTATGTGAACAGCTGTGGAAGTCAGACTCTCGGGAACTGAATCAGGCCCCAGCCCATGCCCCCCAGCCCAGTCCAGCCAACGTGCCCGCTGTCTTCCCACCCAGCCAGCCGAGCCCTCAGGATTGTTAGATGGAACCAGGCTCCATCACCACCCAGGCATGGAGGGAAGATGCCCTGGTCCTTAGCAAGCAAGGCCTGGTTTCCAAAGTGCTCTCCGAAGAGGCCTCATGTTTGTGACATCTTAGAAGGTACCTTTCTGCTGTTCTTGCACCCAGCATGTTGGCAAGTCAAGTTCCCCCACTGAGTTCTCCACACATAAGGAGGGAGTCAACACCATTGCTAAGTCGGATCAGCTCAAGGGTCTCCAGTATCAGTTTTATCAGATCCCAGGGACCTGCCTGCTCCCAGAGGTGACAGAGAAAAATCAAGGAACGATCTGTATGGTCACTGACATGGATGAAACCCTTGTGCATAGCTCCATTAAGCCAATCAGCAATGCTGACTGCCTAGTGACTGTAAAGATTGAGGGGACCATGAGGCCTTATATGGATGAGTTCCTGAGATGACTGGAGGAACTGTTTAAATGTGTTTTCTTCATTGCTCTCTTCATTCCAGACTGAACAAGTATGCAGATCCTGTTGAGAGGTGACAGCGTGCTGGCAGTCCTCACAACCCTTGCTCACTCTCCGGGCCTCCTCTGCCTGGGCTCCAACTTTGGCGGCACTTTAGGAGCCCTTCAGCCTGTCGCTGCACTGTGGGAGCCCCTTTCTGGGCTGGCCAAGGTCGGAGCCGGCTCCCTCAGCTTGCGACGAGGTGTGGAGGGAGAGGTGCGTGTGGGAACCAGGGCGGCGTGCAGTGCTTGAAGGCCAGCGCGAGCTCGGCGGACCCCACACTCGGAGCCGCCGGCTGGCCCCACCGGCCCCAGGCAGTGAGGGGCTTAACACCTCGGCCAGCAGCTGCTGTGCTCAATTTCTCGCTGGGCCTTAGCTGCCATCCCACAGGGCAGGGCTTGGGTCCTGCAGCCCGCCATGCCTGAGCCTCCCCCCCATCGGTGGGCTCCTGTGTGCCCAAGCCTCCTGGATGAGTGCCGCCCCCTGCTCCACAGCACCCAGTCCCATCAACCACCCAAGGGCTGAGAAGTGCGGGTGCACAGTGCCAGACTGGCAGGCAGCTACACCTGCAGACCCTGTGGGGGATCCACTGGGTGAAGCCAGCTGGGCTCCTGAGTCTGGTAGGGACGTGGAGAAACTTTGTGTCTAGCTCAGGGATTGTAAATACACCAATCGGCACTCTGTATCTAGCTCAAGGTTTGTAAACATGCCAACCAGCACCCTGTGTCTAGCTCAGGGTTTGTGAATGCACCAATCAACACTCTGTATCTAGCTACACTGGGGGGGATGTGGAGAACCTTTGTGTCTAGCTCAGGGATTGTAAACACACCAATCAGCGCCCTGTGAAAAAAGACCACTCGGCTCTAACAATCAGCAAGATGTGGGTGGGGCCAGATAAGGGAATAAAAGTAGGCTGCCCCAGCCAGCAGTGGCAACCCACTCGGGTCCCCTTCCACACTGTGGAAGCTTTGTTCTTTTGCTCTTTGCAATAAATATTGCTGCTGCTCACTCTTTGGGTCCACAATGCCTTTATGAGCTGTAACACTCACTGTGAAGGTCCACAACTTCACTCCTGAAGCCAGCGAGACCACGAACCCACCTGGAGGAATGAACAACTCCAGATGTGCCACCTTAAGAGCTGTAACACTCACCGCGAACGTCTGCAGCTTCACTCCTGAGCCAGCGAGACCACGAGCCCACCAGAGGGAAGAAACTCTCAACACATCCGAATGTCAGAAGGAACAAACTCCAGACATGCCACCTTTAAGAACTGTAACACTCACCGTGAGGGTCTGTGGCTTCATTCTTGAAGTCAGTGAGAACAAGAACCCACCAATTCCAGACACATTGTGATGGGTGTGCTGGACCAGTGTGAGGTGTTCTGGGGTTGCCTAGCCCATGAGTCACGTTTGTTCCACCAGGGCTGCTATGTCAATGACCTCAGCCATCTGGGGAGGGACCTGAGGAAAACTCTCATCCTGGACAACTCGCCTGCTTCTTACGTCTTCCACACAGAGAATGCAGTGCCTGTGCAGTCCTGGTTTGATAACATTCCAGACAGCAGCTGCTGCACCTGATATCAGTCTTTGAGGACATGAGTGGAGCAGAGGGCATCTATACTAGCCTTGGGCAGCAGTGGGCCCTTAGCCTTTCCTGCTTCCCAGCAATGGCCATCACAGTAGGGGATTTTCCCACACTGTGCCTTTATGATCAGCCTGAAAGAATGAAGCCTGGAACACCTACCCACATGGGCCTGGAAACAGTGAGAAGTGATTGAAAAGAGCTTTAGGACAGCTTAGATTCCCAGTGGGTGAATGCCAGACCAAGGATACCCAGAGCTACCTGCCATCAAGTTTTTGGGTTCCCAAGATGTGGGTGTGAGAGAAAGAAAGAGAGCATGTGTGTTTTGTGATGAACTGTGGGCCCAATATATAGTGTTTCAGTAGGGGAGAAGCTGAAGGACAGAGACTCTTCCCAAGTTAGCTTTGTCTCCTCTCCTGTCACCCTATGAGACCCTGAGTTCCATAGGGATGAAGACTGTTGAAGGCTCCATTGCAAACCTGGTCTTTCTTCAGTGCTGCAAGGCCTATGCCAAGGAGAAAGGAAAAGTATGCCTTTGGGTGTTCCAGACACATATCTTTCTGAAATATTTCTCCAGCCAGTTGTTGCAGACAAAAGACGATATTTCTGGGAAGATGGGGACTTATGTCCAGACCAGTACCCAAACCATCAGGTCTTGTGGCCTAAAGGCTATGCTTACTTAAGTCCAGCCAAGTGCCTGGGATGGATCCTTTCTGCATCTCCTCAAGACTCACCACTTAGGCATAGCCTCAAACCTGTGGGGAAGGAAGTTGTCTCCCCACCCTGCAAGAGGACAAATAACTGATTTCTCTTCTTTCGACTCTGTTTTAAAATTCTCTTAAAAAAAAAAAAAAGCCTATCTGAAACTGAAAAGAAAAAAACAAAAAAACAAGGAAAAAGATGTCATACTTACATAAGTGAAAAACATACAGATATATCTATAAGCAACAAACACAGCTAATTCACACATATATTAAACATCACATTGAGATAAAGTGTACCGAGCTAAAAATTATCTTTCAACTGATGATATCAAGCTTTAAAATAAAAATACATTTAACTGATCTGAGAAAACATAACTCCCAAGAAAAGAAACACAATAACACGGACTTGAAAATAAGAAGAGAGATTTTCGTGCATAAAATCCTGAATACAACATAGATTTACAATGGAAAATAACCGTTTTTTTTTTTATTTTTTTTTTGAGACAGAGTCTTGCCCTGTTGCCCAGGCTGGAGTGCAGTGGCGCGATCTCGGCTCACTGCAAACTCTGTCCACTGAGTTCACGCCATTCTCCTGCCTCAGCCTCCTGAGTAGCTGGGGATACAGGCGCCTGCCACTATGCCCGGTTAATTTTTTGTATATTTAGTAGAGACGGGGTTTCACCATGTTAGTCAGGGTTGTCTCGATCTCCTGACCTCGTGATCCACCCGCCTTGGCCTCCCAAGGTGCTGGGAATACAGGCATGAGCCACCACAACCGGCCGAAAAATAATTCTTTAGATATCTACAGCATTCAACTGTGTGCACTCATGAAAAGCAGACAATTTAAGTCATTAGAATTTAATAAATTGCAGTAAAATTATACAGAAAATACATTACAATCATTAATAACAGGCTCTAATGAGAGGAATTTAATAAATAATCATTAAAAATACAGGATAATTTTATTATGTTCTCAATATGTTGCTGCACTTCTTACCACAAAACATAATAAAATTATATGACTATAATATAGATTTCAGGAGCTAAAAAAGCCTTATATTTCCAAATAAAAGAACAACATAAATTTTGCAAAATATGACGAGCATTACTGCAGTATAAAGTAAATATCTGGAATTAAAATATGCCATCATTTAGATACAGACTAAAAAAAAGAATATAAATGTTAATGATTCCTTTCTGCCTGCAGTGAGCTTAAAATTACAACCAAAAATTTTAATAAATATGTAGCACCTACAAGACATTTTATTAATAGCTTACATAATGTGGAAATTTGAGCAATTTATTTTAGAATTTTTGAATCTAAAAATCACCAGCTTGACATTCATTTGAGAAAGTGAAACATAAAGGAGAGTAACATAAGCAAGATGACAGAATGGGAGGTTCGGCATGCACATCCCCCACAACATAATGCAGCTGCCACGGGAAACATAAGTGCATTCATGAAAGCCTTAGAATCCAGTTCAGAGTTTGTGACACCCAGCTGGAGGCAAAGACCAAGGAAGACATCTTTAGAGGGTAAGCACTTGACCAAGTGGCAAGCTTGCCAATCATGGTCCTCGGTTCAAAACAGAATACTACCACATCTTACTGTAAACTTGGCTATGACTCATTTGAACTTGGTCCTGCCACTGCAAAAATCTGTGAAAAACACAAAAGAATTCATACTCATCTGAGACTTAGGTGACAGGCCTGCAGAACTTGGTTCTCTCTATAGTCCCTGAATCAGGCAAAACACACCTTCTTTCCTTCTCCAGCCATGGTCTGGAAGAAATCTTCACATTGATATGATGAAATGCTAACTAACAATATGAAAAATACTAAAGTATAAATGTCACTAAAAATGGTAAATACATACTGAAATTCAGAATACTCTAAATTGTTATCATCTTAAACTAGACTATTAAAATACAAGAGGTTTTACATAAGTCTCATGATAACCACTGGGGGAAAAAAAAACATAGTAAAGAAAAAGAGAAAGTAATTAAAGCATACACAAACAACAAAAATTACACATTGGATACAGTGGCTCCTGCTTATAATTCCAACACTTTTGGAGGCCAAGGTGGAAGAATCATAAGCTCCTTGGGTGTTGTGGTACGTGTCCAAGTAGTCCAAGCTACTTGGGTGGCTAAGGGGGGAGGATTGCTTGAGCCCAGGAGATTGAGGCTACAGTGAGCTGTGATATGCCACTGAACTTCAGTCTGAGCAAGAAAGCATAACTTTGTCTCAACAAAAATGAACAATACCACAGGAAAGACAGAACCAGAAAAAAAAGAAGCAAACTTAAAATGGACAGAAAACTACAAATGTACAATAGTAACTGCTTACTTATCACTACCTTACAAATAAAAAGATTAAATTATCTACTAAACAGATACTTCTGTAGACTGAATGTCATCTCCAAAATTTAGGATAAAATGGCCAATGTGAAAGAATTAAGAGGTGGAACCTTTAAAAATTAATTAAGCTATAAGCACTCTGCCCTCATGAATGGATTAATGTTCTTATTATGGGAATGGGCTAATTTTAACAAGAATGGATCTGTTATATATTAAAAAAAAAAAAGCTGTCTCTCCCTCACATCTTTGGCCATGTTATTATCCAGCAACTAGACCTTCAACAGATACCAGTAACATGTTCTTTTACCTTCCCAGCCTCCAGAATCATGAGTCAAATAAAATTCTGTTCTTTATTAATTACCAGTCTGTGATATTCTGTTATAACAGCCAAAAGAGACTAAAGCAGACAGAGTGGATAAATGAAACTTTTAAACCTCGTAATATGCTGCTTACAAGAGACTCAATTATGAATTAAGAGCATAGGCTAAAAGTGAAAGGATAGAAAATGATATTCCATGCAAATAATAGCCAAAGGAGTTCAATGGTAGTTATGCTTAAATTAGACAAAATAGACTTTCTAGCAATGTCTCTCACAAGCATGAAATGAGTTTACCATACAATAATAATAGAGGTTAATTTGTCAAGTGAATATAGCTATATATATTTATGCACCCAAAAGGGAGGCTTCTAAATATAAAAAGCAAATATGGGCAGAACTGTAGGGAGAAGTAGAAAGAAATCCAATAATAGAAAACTTTAATGAAATGTATAATAAAGGACAAATAGTTAACAGCATTGTGAATTTGCAAGGGAAAGCTGTTCTCCTGTGTTGCATTTGAGAATGCAGCAAAGAAAGTGGGAACTGATAATTTTACCACAAGCCTGAGTTAGGCTGAAAAACAGGGTGGTCGATTAGAGGTTCCACTTGCCATATATTAAAAAAACACAGGAGAAAACCAGTCCTCCTCTGGAGTGTTAAAATAATTAAAGAGCAGAAAATTAGACTAAAGTGGCTCTAGTGTCCTGGGTTCATAGGTTAAAAAAAAAAAAACAAAAACTAAAACCTAACTCAAATACATTTCCTATAAAGCATTATCTTAGCCTGAAACAAAATGCACGTTTAACCAATGGCAAACATGCAATTAACCTCTGAATATGTAACCAGGACATTTCCATCTGGATAGTTCAAATAAGGTGACTACATAACTGGAACCAATTTTTGAATTTGGGCTGCTTTCTCATGCATCTTATGAAAGCCTTTCCTTTATGCCCCTCTGGTGGACCAGAAATCATGGCTGGGTGCTTTCCATTTCACCAATCACTGTTTGTTCAGATAAACTGGTTAACGTTTTAACATAGACTCCCGTTAATTTTTAACAAGAGAGACTGGGGACCCCACGGGCCGCAGCTCCTCCCACGCAAACACCCAGTGGCAGTTTTTCCCTGATGACCCACCAGGCCTCCCTGAACAATCTGGGAAATACTCATGGCTGTGGGCGCAGAGCAGGGCGCTGCCCAGGGACAGCACCGGATGGGCCAGGCCGGATGTGGGGGTCCTCGATGCTGGCCCAGCGGCCATCTTGCAGCCACAGGGGACTGAGGGCCAAGCTGCGGGAGACTCGGAGCTAACCGTGGGGGCCGGTCCTGCCGGTTTCACAGCCTGCTCTCCCCTCTCGGGATGCCGAACCCCGTATACTCACCATTTCCCAGCTTCCAGGATGTCCTGTCATCTTAACTGTGCGTCCCCAAGGACCTACAGATCACAGGGCAACAGGGGCTGTGAAAGAGTAGCCCGGGGCTCCCAAAGCGGAGGAGGCGAAAGAGGAGACGGATCCCAAGTTCCTGTGCCAGCGCCAGCGAGAGACAAAGACCCGCCAAACGCCAGAAGCCACGCCCTCCTCTCCTGTCCTCTCCAACTGCGCGCCTGATTGGGCTGTTCCCACATCAGTGTCAATGACTGGATAAAACTCCAGGACTCACCCACCCCCGCCTGACTCCTGCCCCTACCCCCACTCCCCCTCAGCCTTAGTGCATTTTTGTTAGTTTGTTTTACTTTAAGTTCTGGAATACATGTGCAGAACGTGCAGGTTTGTTACATAGGTTTACATGTGCCATGGTGGTTTGCTGCTTCTATCAACCTGACGTCTAGGATTTAAGCCCCATATGCATTAGGTATTTGTCCTAATTTTCTCCCTCCCCTTGACCTCAACACCCTAACAGGCCCCAGTGTGTGATGTTTTGTTCCCGGTGTCCATGTGTTCTCATTGTTCAACTCCCACATATGAGTGAGAACATACGGTGTTCTGTTTCCTGTTCCCGTGTTAGTTTGCTGAAGAGAATGGTTTCCAGTGTCATTCACGTCCCTGCAAAGGACATGAACTCATTCTTTTTATGGCTGAATATTATTTCATGGTGTATATGTGCCACATTTTCTTTTTCCAGTCTATCAATGATGGGCATTAGGTTGGTTCCAAGTCTTTGTTATTGTAAACAGTGCTGCAATAGATATATGAGTGCATGTGTCTTTATGCTAGAATGATTTATATTCCTTTGGGTATATAACCAGTAATGAGATTGCTGGGTCAAATGGTATTTCTGGTTCTAGATACTTAGGGAATCACCACACTGTCTTCCATAATGGTTGAAGTAATTTACACTCCCGCCCCCAGCAGTGTAAAAGCGTTTCTATTTCTCCATAGCCTCATCAGCATCTGTTGTTCCTGACATTTTAATAACTGCCATTCCAAATGGTGTGAGATGGTATCCCATTGTGGTTTTGATTTGCATTTCTCTAATCATCAGTGATGATGAGCTTTTTTCTTTTTCCTTTTTGTGTGTTTGTTGACCACATAAATGTCTTCTTCTTCTTCTTCTTCTTCTTCTTCTTCTTCTTCTTCTTCTTCTTCTTCTTCTTCTTCTTCCTCTTCTTCTTCTCCTTCTTCCTTTTCTTTTTATTTATTTTATTTATTATTATTTTAAAGACGGAGTCTAGCTCTGTCACCCAGGCTGGAGTGCAGTGGCAGGATCTCAGCTCACTGCAACATCTGCCACCCAGGTTCAAGTGATTCTCCTGCCTTATCCTCCCAAGAAGCTGGAATCACAGCCACCCGCCAAAACACCATGCTAATTTTTTGTGTTTTTAGTAGAGACATGGTTTCACCATGTTGCCCAGGCTAGTCTTGAACACCTGACCTCATGATCCACCTGCCTCCATGGCTGAAAGTCCTGGGATTACAGGCTTGATCAACCACGCCCAGCCAAATGTCTTCTTTTGAGAATAGTCTGTTCATATTCTTTACTCACTTTTTGATGTTTTTTTTGTGTGTGTGTGTGAAATTAAGTTCCTTGTAGATTCTGGATATTAGACCTCTGACACATGGATAGATTGCAAAAATTTTCTGTCATTCTGTAGGTTGCCTGGTCACTCTGATGATAGATTCTTTTGCTGTGCAGAAGCTCGTTAGTTTAATTAGATCTCATTTGTCAATTTTAGCTTTTGTTGTGATTGCTTTTGGTATTTTATTCCTGAAGTCTTTGCTCATGCCTATGTCCTGAATGGTATTGCCTAGGTTTTCTTCTAGGGTTTTTGTGGTTTGGTGTTTTATATTTAAGACTTTAATCCATCTTGAGATAATGTTTGTATAAGGTGTAAAGAAGGGGTCCAGTTTCTGTTTTCTGAATGTGGCTAGCCAGTTCTTTCAGCACCATTTGGTAAGTAGTAAATCTTTCTCCATTGCTTGTTTTTGTCAGGTTTGTTAGAGATCAGATGGTTGTAGATGTGTGATGTTATTACTGAGGCCTCTGTTCTGTTCCATTGGTCTATATATCTGTTTTGGTATTAGTACTGTGCTGTTTTGGTTACTGCAGCCTTGTAGTATAGTTTGAAGTCGGGTAGCAAGATGCCCCAAGCTTTGGTGTTTTTGCTTAGGATTGTTTTGGGTTGACAGGCACACAGGCTCGTATAGTTGGGGTCACCTGCCCAGAGTATCACAGCTAATTAAGAAGTGAGCTGAGACTTGAAATGCACATGCTCCTTCCCTTACCTGGGTCTGTTGTATAATGCATCTTAGCAGCTATTTAACAGTAGGAATTAGAACATTTGGACATCTTTTTAACAACTTTTTAACCTGCATTTTGATAATGCAGGAAAGACCTTCATCCCGTCCCTGAGCCCCTCTCTCACCACGCTACATCCCACTGCTGACCACATTGTAGGGTAGCCATTAGGAATCAGGCGGGCAGTGGGGGCTGGGAATAAATAAGCAAGGATTATGCTGCCCAAATTTGCTCATCTTAGAAAGTCTCCTCAACCATTCTGTGTGAAGTGATTATTCCAGGGTAATTGTGGCCTGACTGCGCTGGATGTCAGTGTGACTTGTCTTTTTGAAAATCACTGGATTACTCTCATGAACGGGGGTATTTCTCTTTCTATTTGAAAACGGCCAACTGTCCTCTGCAGGTGTCCTGATTTGCTAGTTTAGACCCTGAAGGTAGCGGTGAGAAAATATTTGGGCCACAACAGAATACCTATTCTCAGCTGGAAGATATATAGAAATTTCTTAATAATATCTAACCATTTTCTCAATAACCATTATATTTAACATTGATAGCTTGGAGGGCAGGGAAGGACACAGATGACACAATCTTCAAAGTTTATTTATAAGTTTTTTTTTTTTGTTCTTGTTTAGTTTTGCTTAGTTTTTGGATACAAGGTCTTGTTCTGGTGCCCAGGGTGGAGGGCAGTGGCATAATGATAACTCATAATTTGGTTGTAACGGTTCTTTAAAATATATTTTTGCTGAGAGTGCTAGCTCACACCTGTAATCTAAACACTTTGGGTGGTCAAGGTGGGATTATCGCTTGATCCCAGGAGTGCAAGACGAGTCTGAGCAACATAAGTAGGCTCAGTCTCTAGAAAAATATTTAAAAATTGTCTGGGTGTAGCTTTGCATGCCTGTAGTCCCAGCTACTTGAGAGGCTGATTTGAAAGCATCACTGGAGCCTAAGAATTTGAAGATGCAGTGACCCATGATTCAGCCACTGCATTGACAGAGTGAGATATGTGTGTGTGTGTCTGTGTGTGTGTATAAAGAATTTGTATGTGAAAAAAATTCAAGCACAGGATAAAAGTGAAAGCCCACGGTGGGGGATGTGGAGAAAGGTCACTGTGGCTCCAGCAACTCAGTGAGACTTGGTTTTCCATCTTGAAGAATTGCCCATCCACACTGACACCATAGCCTAACATATGCCAGTTCTCACACTACACCTGCTGGGATACCAGTATGTAGCCTTTTGAAAAAAATAAAATCTTTCACCTAAGAGAAGGACAAGAGAAAACGAGGGTTTCACATCTAAAGCCTTCATTTTCTTTATGAATCAACAGCCACTTGTCATTTGAATTGTCCAGAGGCGACTGACAGCACCAATACACTTAATGAATCAACCAGGAAAAATGGGCCTCTCAGGTGAGGAGGAGGCACAATGGTCACAAAACCCAATCCGTTCTCAGCTTTGCATGGTGCTCGCATCTCAAGAAGTGGTGTTAGCCATGTGAACCGTGTTCACTGGACAAGGCCAGAGGAAAGAATATTTAGTACAACACAACTATGGGGCTGCAAATCAAACTGGTAGTGAGAGCATGCATGAGGCTTCAGTGGCCGAGACACTGGTGGCTACCCTTCGGTGTCACTTAAACCTTTGAGGTGAAGGACATCTTTTTTCCCAACTGGCTCAGAGAAACCAATCAACATTAAAATTGAGATTTGTTTTTCTTTTCAAAATTTCTAAGACACAGAGGACTCTAACACTCCAAAAGACATTCAGATATTCTTGCAGCTGAGGACTTGACTGCTCTGTAGAGGGATGGCAGAGCAGCAGCCACCAGCTTTAAGAGCTTTAAGCTCCTCCTCTTATAGGGAAAGGCCACCCCCACACAACCCCCATAACTTCATAGGCTCTGGCTGTTAGGTGCACCTGGGGGACTGTCTTCCTCCCATCTCATTAGCTCTCCAAGACAGTTCAGCTCAATCTAAAACCTACCCTAAGATGGCGGTATGTAGACTCTCCTCCATTCTCCCAGCGCAGTGTGACTTCTGGAGAGTGCTCCCCCATCGTCTTACCTCAAATGATGTGAAAAGAGCTGGTTCCCGGGTAGTTAGATGTTCAGTGACCTAACAGGCCCAGCATGCGCAGGGCCTGGCCCCACAGCCTGGCACCTCTCTCCTACCTGGCCTTCACTTCGGCCTTTTCTCTTCTGTCACCAATGTCAGGTGATGGTCACCAGTGCCACACTCTCATGAGCTTGGTAAGTAGCAGGGGTGTAAACCCCAACAGATTTCCTGTGACTCTACCCTCTTACCTCCCACTCAAGTGACATTATAAGCATAATTTTATATTTGATCTAATTTATGCATAACCTTTTTATAACATTTCTGACAACAGCCCACACAACCACATGAGTCTGGGTTACAGAACACACGGGCGAGGCTCGGGTAGCAGGTTTCACTTACTTTATTCCAATGTGAAATGAAGATTGATGATTTAAAAACAAGACAAAGTTGTTTATCAGCTGTGGGGTGGCTACACTTGCTATCTCATGCTCACTTCCTTTGAAACAAGGTATCTGGACAGACCATATTCATAAGTAAGACTTCGCAAAACCTCAGACAGAAGTTCCAGTCAGACACAGCTCCCTCAGGCTCACAGGGTGGCAACCGCCTCCATGTTAGGCTCTGACAGCAGGCAAGGAAAGGAGCACAGGCAGCAGGGGACAGGGAGGGTCCGGGACTGTAGGGATCCCCAAATGCCCCAGAGCTATTCTCTGTAGAAGGGCACACGCAGGTCTCACTGTGTCAGTGCAGTGGCTGAATCATGGGTCACTGCAGCCTCAATCTCTTAGGCTCCAGTGATGCTTTCACCTCAGCCTCTCAAGTAGCTGTATGGCAAAAAGCCTCCTACTTTTTACTTAAAACCTGGACTTTAAGCCAGGTTGGGCCTGGGAATAGTGGCAGCAAAAGCAGCAGCCAAATGTATACACTTCAGATGTCTACACTCATGGGCACAGGCATATTCCACACTTGCTGGAACACGAGATGCCTGAGAGGCACCTGTTTCCCAGCTACTAACTGATGTCCACACACCCCATTCACGTGTCTTCATTTAGGTTTCTGCATCGTATATTTGCTCAGCCAGTGCAAACACATCTTCTAGGGGGCAACATTAATTGCAGCACCTGCCCCACTTGTTCTGGGAGGGAGTCAAGAGGAATCTGGTCAGCTCCTAATCCCCCAGGACAAAGGTGATGCCCTCTTTTCAGGACTTACATCCAGCAGCGTCATCTCGGGATGGGTTTTTCAAACACAAGCAGCATGAGGTAGCAAGCATGGTGTGACAGGCTCAGGGCCATGGGCAGCCGGCTTCTGGAGAAGCAGCACAGGGCAGGCACATCTGTGGGTGGCACCATGACAAGCCAAGACAGCCTCAGCCCGTAATCCCAACAGCTCCAGCCCAGATGGCATTCAAATTTTCCCGGATAGTATTGGGGTGCCCGATGCCCATCACTCGCCCTCTCATTAGCACGGCCTTGTTGGTTACTCAGGGACTAAGGAGAGAGAGTGGGGGATGTAGATCCAGGGTGGGCACTGCCTCACAGCCAGAGTCCACCTGACTGCAGGCCAGCAAGCAAGCCCAAGCAGCTCAGCTCTAGTCACCTCTGGCTGCACTTTTTATGTGTAATTTACACAAAGGCAGCAAAAGGAGGTCAACATTAGCTGTTGTGACATGAAAGTCTATGCCCCATTAAGACCTTAAAATGCTATTGTCTTAAGCTATCTTTATTCTAATAAAATTTATACAAATAAACACATACAAGGTGAACTACTATAAAGGAAATATTAGGATTTTTTAAACCCATAAACAGACATGTAAACAGTCACTGTTTGATTGCAGAGAAAGTGAGCTTCTAAAGCAGCTGACCACAAAACAGCCTCACCAAACCCCAGGCAGGCCAGGCAGTCTGAACACTACAAGGCCACGTGATGGTCACAGAGGATGACAGCTCCCGTGAGTATTGCAAGGCACTGTGTTAGCTTCTCACTCACAGTCTCAGAATACCCTGTGAGGGGAGGCCCCGTCTCACTAGAGCACAGGAGGTTCCTGAGCTCTTCCCAGAAAATGGTCATCAAACGATGGAGCAGGGGGAAGCCCAGACAGAACAAGTGAGTCCCTAGGGTCTCCTTAACCTCCCTCAGCTCCTCCACATGGGTTCCTGAGGGAAAGTGAGCAGTCTCCTAACCCCTTTGTTAGGGTTCCAGTCCTGCAGGTCTGGACTCTCTCATTTTATGCTACCATAGGGGATGACAATGCAACCCCAGGCTCCTTTTTTGCCATCCCTCAATGCCAGGCCAGGCCCAGAGCCGTTTGCTGACACAGCCCAGGGGATGCTCAAGGCCCACCTCGGCACAGTCACCTGTAGTGTACTGAGATGAGCAAGGAGGTGCAAGTAGACACAAATCCCCATGGGCTTGGCCTCAGCTATGTTCCACAGGCTCAGGGCCTCGCAGAAGAGCTCACAGCCCTCCTTCAGGAAGCCTGCAGATCACACCCTCAGGGAGCAGTGCTCAGATGAGCAGGCAGGCCCCACATCCCCCACCCCATGACGCTCTGTTCCACTTTGCAGGCTTCTGCATTGGCCAGTCCCCACTGCTTTCTGGTGAGATGTCCGAGTTGAAGTGAGTGTTGAATGCCACACAGCTGATGGAGCTCACTGCCTTGCACATGTTGTAAAACACCTCCTGGTTACAAGGGTCAGCTGTGGAGACACAGCTTGATGG